>NW_009646197.1:300000-451168 GCF_000001405.40 Homo sapiens
TTTATTATTGCTAGTAAGAGGGAAATGAGAGACAAGCACTACTTGGAACTCCATGCAATGAACACACACTCCCTTTGAGTTCAAGTAAAGGGATGTGAAGGTGCCTATTGTGAAGTAAATCAGTAAAAGGTATAGGTCATGTGAGACTCTGTAAAAAGAGATAAATTTGGCTGGGTGCAGGGCTCACGCCAGTAATCCCAGCACTTTGGGAGGCCAAGGTGGGCAGATAACCTGAGGTCAGGAGTTCAAGATCAGCCTGGCCAGTATGGTGAAACCCTGTCTCTACTAAAAGTACAAAAATTAGCTGGGTGTGATGGCAGATCCCTGTAATCCCAGCTACTTGGGAGGCTGAGGCAGGTGAATCACTTGAACCCAGGAGGTGGAGGTTGCAGTGAGCCAAGACTGCACCATTGCACTCCAGCCTGGGCAACAAGAATGAAACTCCATCTCAAAAAAAAAAAGAGGTAAATTTGTATGGGATATGTCTTGGGCTTTGTTGGAGAAACTCATTATAGAAACATTATAGGCAATATGAGACTTGGATCCTTTTTCAGTTTTCTTCTTCAATAAACTGAACTGTTACTTTCTTTTTTTTGTCTTTAGTAATGAAGGTGATGCCATCAAAGTTTTTGTGCGAATTCGTCCTCCTGCAGAAAGATCTGGGTCAGCTGATGGAGAGCAGAACTTATGCTTATCTGTGCTGTCCTCCACGAGTCTCCGGCTGCACTCCAACCCTGAGCCCAAGACCTTCACGTTTGATCATGTTGCAGATGTGGATACCACTCAGGTAATGATAATTAGAAACTTAACTTTTTTTTTTTTTTGAAAAGGAGTCTCACTCTGTCACCAGGCTGGAGTGCAGTGGCATGATCTCGGCTCACTGCACCCTCTGCCTCCCGGGTTCAAGTGATTCTCCTGCCTCAGCCTCCCGAGTAGCTAGGACTACAGGTGCGCGCCACCATGCCTAGCTAATTTTTGTATTTTTAGTAGAGATGGGGTTTCACCATGTTGGCCAGGATGGTCTTGATCTCTCGACCTCGTGATCTGCCCGCCTCAGCCTCCCAAAGTGCTGGGATTACAGGTGTGAGCCACCTCGCTGGAAACTTTACTTTTTACCTGGAACATATAAGCCTCCAAATTTCATTTCTTGGCCAGGCGTGGTGGCTCATGCCTGTGATCCCAGCACTTTGGGAAGCTGAGGGGGCAAATCATGAGGTCAGGAGATCGAGATCATCCTGGCTAACACAGTGAAACCCCGTCTATACTAAAAATACAAAAAATTAGCTGGTTGTGGTAGTGGGCACCTGTAGTCCTAGCTACTCGGGAGGCTGAGGCAAGAGAATGGCATGAACCTAGGAGGCGGAGCTTGCAGTGAGCGGAGATCGCACCACTGCACTCCAGACTGGGCAACAGAGCAAGACTCTGTCTCAAAAAAAAAAAAAAAAATTTCTTTTCTGGGCTGGTCTCTTTTTAATTTCATCCGTCTCAAATAAGGAGACTGAAACGTTCCATAAATATTTTAAATTTAATCTTATTAAATAGTATTCTCCTTTTTTCATCGAACTTTGTAGCAGAATGACAAAAGCCTTCTTTTTTTTTTTTCCCCCCACTAAGTGATAGGAAATTATGGGCGTAGTGGCACATGCCTGTTATCCCAGCTACTTGGAGGGCTAAGGCAGGAGGATCACTTGAGCCCAGGAGTTTGAGGCTGCAGTGAGCTATGATGGTGCCACTGCACTCCAGCCTTGGCAACAGAGCAAGACTCTATCTCTTAAAAAAAAAAAAAAAAGATCTGTGATGTTCATTGTAGTAGCCATTAGTTATATGTGGCTATTTAGATTTAAATTAATTAAATAAAACTTGAAAGTCAGTTCCTCATATACACTAGTCATATTAAAAGTGTGGCTCATGCATCTGAGGCACTGGAGGTTAGTGAAGATGCACTTTTTGGAGCCAGTGGATGATTGAGAAGTACTGTTGAACTGCCTAATCTAAGGATTTAGGATTACCGTGATGTCAACAACTGCTTTTCTAATTAAGGTCAACTTAATTAAGACCTAGTTAGTGCTATCCAATGGAACTTTCTGCAGTGATGGAAATGTTCTGTATCTGTGCTGTCTGTTACAATAGCCTCTAGCCAAATGTGACTATATGAGTTTAAATTAATTAAAATTAAATCAAATTTAAAATTCAGTGCCTCAGATGCACTAGTCACATGTGGCTCCTGAGCACTTTTAATATGGTTAGTGTGTATGAAGAACTGGCTTTTAAGTTTCGTTCAATTAATTTAAATCTAAATAGCTACATATAACTGATGGCTACTATACTGAACATCACAGATTTTTTTTTTTTTTTTTTTTTGTAAGAGATGGTGTCTTGCTTTGTTGCCAAGGCTGGAGTGCACAAATAATCCTCCTGCTTAGCCTCCCAAGTAGCTGTGATTACAGGCATATGCCACTATGCTTGGCTAATTTTTTTTTCATTCCAGGATAAATCTCAGTTATGCCAAGCTAAATTTTAAATTTTTTGTAGAGATGGAGTCTTACTATGTTCCCTAGGCTGGTCTCGAACTCCTGGCCTCAAGCAGTCCTCCCATCTTGGCTTCCCTAAGTGCTAGGATTACAGGTGTGAGCCACTTCATGCAGCCCATCACAGATCTTAAGTATTCCCTTATACATATGGATGTTTTTGGGCCAACATTTAGATCTTTGGATCTTTTTTTTATGTGGAGCATCGCTGGCCAATAGATAAGTAAAACGAGGACTGGGTGCTGTGGCTCACGCCTGTAATCCCAGCACTTTGGGAGGTGGAGGTGGGCGGATCACGAGGTCAGGAGTTTGAGACTAGCCTGACTAACATGGTGAAACCCCGTTTCTACTAAAAATAAAAAATTAGCCAGGCATGGTGGTGTGCACCTGTAGTCCCAGCTACACAGGAGGCTGAGGCAGGAGAATTGCTTGAACCTGGGAGGCGGAAGTTTCAGTGAGCCGAGATTGCGCCATTGCACTAAAGGCGACAGAGTGAGACTCCATCTCAAAAATAAATAAAAATAAACAGTGTAGGGTTGGGAGTTCTTGCATTTGTAGTAAGACTGCATCTCCTTGTAGGTAAAAATGAAAATAAAATGGAGGTATTGACTGTTCAGTGCAAACTTATGAGAAAAATCACTGAAGAAGATGTACAGCCGTTTATTTATGCTAGTACCAGTACAATATCTACATGCAATATGCTCTACAAAATTCTGTATAAAGTTTAGTTGTGTGCTTTAAATCTATAGGTGTATAGGAGATTAATAGATGTAATTATGTGTAAAGTTGAATCATCTTAGATAGTTTAGCCTTTTTTCTGTAGTGGATGTTATCCATGTTATTACTAAGCAATTTTTGCTGTTACATTGTAGAATGCAATTTAGGAAAAATGTTTTCATTTTTATGATATGTTAACATGTTTGGTTACATTTGTAGGAATCTGTATTCGCAACTGTGGCTAAAAGCATTGTGGAGTCTTGCATGAGCGGTTATAATGGTACCATCTTTGCATAGTAAGTTGTTGACTGTGTCCTTATACATAGTACATGCTTGAATTATTTTCCTGTTGCTGTTGTAACAAATTACCACAAACGTAGTGGCTTAAAACAACACAAATGTATTATGTTACAGTTCTGTAAGTGAAAAGTTCAACATGGGTCTCTCACAGGTAAAATCAAGGCGTCAGCAGGGATGCAATTCTTTTGGCAGCCTTGTTGCTTTCTGGAAAATTTGTTTCTTTGCCTTTTTCAGCTGCTAGAGGCCACCCACATTACTTAGCTTACAGCCCTGTTTATCTTCAAAACCAACAACATGTAACTCTTTGACTCTTCTTCCTTAGTCACACCTCCCTCTGACAGCAGCTAAAAAAGGTTTTCTGATTTTAGGGACTAATGATTAGATTGGCCCCTCCTGGCTATCAAGGTAGCAGGGATTACACTCCAAGGTAGAGGAGTAGTGTAGAGCAGAGTATCTGTCTATCTATATATATATAACTTTTTTTTGTAAGAAAGTTTGTCCAGCCAGGCGTGGTGGCTCACGCCTGTAATCCTAGCACTTTGGGAGGCTGAGGTGGATGGGTCACTGGAGTTCAGGAGTTCAAGACCAGTCAGGCCAACATGGTGAGACCCCCGTCTCTACTAAAAATACAAAAAAAATAGCTGGATGTGGTAGT
Organism: Homo sapiens; assembly: GCF_000001405.40. Taxonomy (NCBI): domain Eukaryota; kingdom Metazoa; phylum Chordata; class Mammalia; order Primates; family Hominidae; genus Homo; species Homo sapiens. The sequence continues at coordinate 304,201 of NW_009646197.1, forward strand.
GGTCGCCTGTAGTCCCAGCTACTTGGGAGGCTGAGGCAGGAATCACTTGAACCCAGGAGGCAGAGGTTGCAGTGAGCCGAGATTGCACCACTGCACTCCAGCCTGGGTGACAGGGCGAGACTCCGCCTCAAAAAAAAAAAAAAAAAAAAAACCAAAACAAAAAAGAAAGATTTGTCTGTTTTCCACATTTATTCAATTCTTTATATGTTATGGATATGCATTTATTTTATTCTTTAGGTTATAATCCAGTACTAAAAATTATTTACCTTGTTGTTCTTGTTGTTCCAGCTTTGCCCAATGGGCCCTCCTTGAGGTTGGTTTTTGTGTCCCTTTGCTATAGCTCATCCTTTTGTTTTTTGAGCCCCTTCTTACTTTATGATGCTACAAGATGCTCTGGGCTCATCTTGTGTTTTCCCTGACCTACGCCTAGAATCAGCCATTTCACCAATGAACCCTAATTCCTTTTATTGGAGCATGGTATTTAGAAACCAAGATCTGGGCGCTAGGTGTGTTTGGTTTGTTGCTATTGGAATGCCATTGCTTCTAGGCCTTCTCAGCAGACAGAGCTAGGTAATACATGGCAGGGTGGGTATACTGTCTGGTTTACTGAGGACAATACCAATTGTCAAGTAATTATTAGTAGTGTCCTCTTCACTCTCAAGTGCCTGTTTGGACAATAATCTATAGGATTACCCTATTTGTGGCTGGGCACGGTGGCTCACACCTGTAATCCCAGCACTTTGGGGGGCCGAGGTGCGTGGATCACGAGGTCAGGAGTTCAAGACCAGCCTGGCCAAGATGGTGAAACCCCATCTCTACTAAAAATACAAAAAATTAGCCGGGCGTGGTGGCAGATGCCTGTAGTCCCAGCTACTCAGGAGGCTGAGGAAGGAGAATCATTTGAACCCGGAGGGTGGAGGTTGCAGTGAGCCGAGATCGTGCCACTGCACTCCAGCCTGGGTGACAGAGTGAAAAAAAAAAAAAAAAAAAGGATTACCCTATTTGTAGAGGACTCAATAATATCCATTTCTCATTCTGAGTTACTAAAGAATTTTTTTCCCTCTTTTCTTCCAGAAGAAGGGGGTAAAAAACTATAGCATACTGTTTTCTAGTTTTGGGGGGCATTTAATGAAAAAGTAAATCCAAAATTTTCTGTTTTTGCTGTGAATCTAAGCTAAAGTCTTTTGATATCTTGATTAACATCTTTAAAATACAACTTTTTTTTTTTTTTTTTTTTTTAAAAGAGATGGAGTCTTGTTATGTTGCCCAGTCCTGGAGTGCAGTGGCTATCCACAGCTGTGATTCTAGTGCACCACAGCCTGGAACTCCTGGGCTCAAGCCATCTTTCTACTTCAGCCTCCTCAGTAGCTGGAACTGCCTGGCTTCAACGTTTTTACTTTTAGTTTTTTGTTACTCTTGTTTCTGTTAAGTGGGATAACAGGAGAGATGACATTGCACAAAAACCTATAGCATAAGAATTTTTTTATTGCTTTATATTTAAATGAAGAGATTTTAGTATCTTTTAAAGACAAAGAATTTAGGAAAGGAAATGCTGTATTACTTGGCATAGCAAAAATTGGAAACAAAAGTTCATTTGATTCTGGTTAAATAAATTATGGTGCTGCAAGATGCTATATGATCCCAAAACCATGGAATACTGTGTAGCTATTAAAAATAATGAGGCAGACCTCTATTGCTGACCTAGGAAGATATCTGAGGTAAAATTAAGGGAAAAATAGGTTGCAAAGCAGTATGAAGAGCATCATCCCAATTTTGGTAAATAAAAATTAAATGAAAACTCTGATGGCTATGTTTGTGTAATATAGAAGCATTTGCCAATTAACAGCAGTTAGCTCTTTGTAGGGAGATTGGAGAGAAAGGAGGCAGATCATTCACTTTTTATCTAATAGAATTTAAAAATAGAAAGAAAATAAGCTAACTTTTTGTGGAGAAAACTTATACACTAGTATTATAATAGGAGGAGTAGTCTTTTAATTTTATGTGTAAAAATAATATGTAAAACATTTTTTACAGTGGACAGACTGGCTCAGGGAAGACATTTACTATGATGGGTAAGTAAAGATTAACTTTTGTTGGCTTAATCTACTCTTTCTGTGATAACAGTAACCTACAACATTTTGGGGAAAGGCATAATTTCTATATATGATGTTGATCTCTTGAAATTAGGGAAATTCCCTAGGCTTCTGCCAAGTTGTGAGTTCTTTGCTAGCAAAGTCCATGTGTTAATCATGTTTGCAGCTATGTTTCCAGCTCAATGCCTGGCACAGAGTGGTGCTGAATAAACAGTTTTTCAGTAGGATTTAATGAATTCGTATATGTTTATACACCTGTATAACCACTAACCAGATCAAGATTCCTGGTCAGTAACTACCAAACCCTGTCCCCTGGAATGCCAATTACTCTGATTTCTGTCATCATTAATATTGCTTGTTTTTGATCCTCTACAAATAATATTTTGTTGTGTATCTTTTGTTTCTGATGTCTTTTAGTGTTAAGTTTCTGCGATTCACTCATGTTGTTGCATGTAGTAGTAGTTTATTTCCATTACTGTATAATATATTATCGTATGAATATACTACACATTTTCCAGTCTACTGTTGATAGACATTTGGATTATTTCAACTTTTCAACCATACGAATAATGTTGCTGTGAACATCTTTCTTGTGTCTTTTCAAATAATTTATGTTGGATATGTATCCAGGAGAATTGCTGGATCATAGGATATATGTATATTTAGCTTTAGTAGATTCTGCCCAACAGTTTCCCAAAGTGATTATCTCAGTAGTATATGGAAGTTCCAGTTGCTCCACTTCCTTATATATACTTGAAATTGTCAATTTAAAAAATTTTAGCCATTCTTGAGTATGTATAGTATTATCTTATTGTGTATTTATTTCTATTGACAACTGAATACCTTTCATAGGTTTAATTCGATATATCAATACCCTGTCTGTTGAAATGCCCATTCAAGCTTTTTTCTCCCATTTAAAAAATTAGCTTGACTTTTTCTTACTCATTTGTGGATATTCCTTATAAAACAGAGAAGTTAGCCTTTTGTCCATGATATGGATTCCAGATTTTTCTCTAGATTTTTCATTTGTCTTTTGACTTACTTAAGGTTTTTTTTTCTATGCTAAAGTTTTATTTTACATGGCTGAATTTGTTTCTTTTCTTTTTCTTCTTTTTATTTTTTTTGAGACGGAGCCTGCCCCTGTCGCCTAGGCTAGAGTGCAGTGGTACAATCTTGGCTCACTGCAACCTTTGCCTCCTGGGTTCAAGGCTATTCTCCAGCCTCAGCTTCCCAAGTAGCTGGGATTGCAGGCATGCGCCACCACACCCAGCTAATTTTTGTATATTTAGTAGAGACGGGGTGGGGGGCGCGTCTCACCATGTTGGCCAGGCTGGTCTCGAACTCCCGACCTCAAGTGATCCACCTGCCTCGGCCTCCCAAAGTGCTGGGATTACAGGCAGAAGCCACTGCACCTGGCTTCTTTTTCCTTAATGGCTTCTGAATTGTGAGTTGTAGTAAGAAAGGTCTTCCTCGCTCTCTGAGGTTATAACAACAACAACAACAAATAATTGAATACTTGTACTTACAGTATGCCCAGCACTCTTCAAGACACTGTTGGTTTACTTGAATACAAGGCAGTGTCCTGGCTCTTGTGGACCTTCTGATTCTCAGGCAGAGGGAATACACAATTAAAAGCAAATACACCTCTAGAAATTATGCCAAAGGTAATAAGTGCTATGAATTAAAATAAAGCAATGTAAAGGGATGGAAAAAAGTAGAGGGTGCTATTTTAGGTGGTGGGTCAGGAAAGACCTCTCAGGAGGTGACCTTTGGAGTTATTAAGTGAAATGAGAGTGAACCATGAGACTGTCCAAGAGAATAATCTTACAGGCAGAGGAACAGCAGTTGCACAGGCCCTGAGGTGGGTGCACACCCAAGGATGTTTGAAGACCAGCAGAAGACCCACTGAGAGTGGAGTTTTCCAGGATAAGGGGCTGGTAGCATGGGAAGTCGGAGCTATACCCTAGGCCAGGTCATATAGGCCTGGTGAGGATTTTGGATTTTGTTTTGAATATGATGTGACATTATTGGAAGTGTTCTTTTTTAAAATAAACAAATAGGAAGTACATGATCTGATATTAAAAGGATTACTCAGGCAGCTAAATGGAATAAAGACGATTAGGGGATAGAGCGGGATTAGGAGATACTGCAGTGGGTTAGGCAAGAGATGATGAAGGTAATTAAAGATTTGTTGAATCTTTGTCTTAGTCTATTTGTGTTGCTGTAAAGGAATACCTGAGGCTGGGTAATTTATAAAGAAAAGAGGTTTACTTGGCTCACAGTTCTGCAGGTCATAGAGGAAGCATGGCACCAGCATCTGCTCGGCTTCTGGTGAGGGCCTCATGCTGCTTCAACTCATGGCAGAAGACAAAGGGGAATGGGCATGCAGGGATTACATGGTGAGAGAGGAAAGTGAGAGAGAGAGAGAGACAAAGAGAGAGAGAGATGAGGAGGTGCCAGGCTCTCTCCAACAACTAGTTCTCTTGGGAAATAAGAGAACTCACTCCCATGAGAATGGCACCAAGCCTTTCATGAGGGGTTGTGCCCCCCACACTCCATGACCCAAAAATGTCCCAGCAGGCGACACCTCCAACAGTGGGGATCAAATTTCAACATGAGAATTGGGGCAAAACATACTATATCTTTATATAATATATTCTTCAATGGGAAAATGATGTAAAATTATCTACATGTTCTAATATTCATTCTCTTTATTTACTTGCATTTTTCTACCTCTGTTATATATTTCTTAAGCTACAGATTACAAGGACCATTTTAAATATTCCAGGTGTGGTACAAGGCCTTCTACCAAAGACAACTATTATATTTTAAAATTTATTCTCTATTTTTCTTGTGCATGTCAGCATTTTGTTAGTTCCTTTGGTCTCTAAGGCATACTTCACCAATATTTTGATTGTTAAATAGATCTAGATCTTTTCTAGCTATATATACTTTTCTGGTAAATATTGCTATAACTTGAATTAGAATTCCTTAGAATCCTGCTATTTGCATATCCACTCTTCCTTTTCCCAGTGTAACAAAATAGAGACTCTGCATTTTTCTGTCTATGTGGAAATCTTGTAAGATATTCTTACAGTACTTTTCTTACCAGCTTGGCTTTTATTGCCTAATTTTAAAAAAATCAACTAGCTAATCCTGATTTTTAGTACTTAATGTGTTTAAAGCACTAACATGGCTCTAAGTGCTTTACCTTTACACTCTCAGTTAATTCTTTCTTTTTGTTTTGAGACGGAGTCTCACTCTGTCGCCCAGGCTGGAGTGCAGTGGCGCCATCTCGGCTCACTGCAAGCTCCGCCTCCCAGGTTCACGCCATTCTCCTGCCTCAGCCTCTCCGAGTAGCTGGGACTACAGGCGCCCGCTACCACGCCCGGCTACTTTTTTTTTTGTATTTTTAGTAACGATGGGATTTCATCGTGATCTCGATCTCCTGAACTTGTGATCCGCCCGCCTCAGCTTCCCAAAGTGCTGGGATTACAAGCGTGAGCCACTGCGCCTGGCCTCTCAGTTAATTCTTTCCAATAACCCTATGTGATATTTATTACCATTATTATCCCCATTTTATAATTGAGAACTCTGCAGCTTAAGAGGGATTTAGTAATTAGCCTATGGTCACACAGTATGGGGCCAAGGCCTGGAGCACAGGTCAGTCTATGAGACCAAATGTGCTGCAATAAAGGACAATTATTTGATATTCCTGCAGATTTTGGTACCTGGCAGTTGGAAAAATTTCAATTTCTCTCACAGACCTAGATTTAACTTGCTTGGAGCACAAGTAGGAAACTGATTGTATGGTGTATCATCTAATTTCTGTGTAAATTGCCATTTTGAAAGACTCTTGGAATAGAATAAAAATCCAGTGTTTTTTTTTTCATTTTTTTAGGACCATCTGAATCTGATAATTTTTCTCATAACCTGAGAGGAGTAATCCCACGAAGTTTTGAATATTTGTTTTCCTTAATTGATCGTGAAAAAGAAAAGGTAAAACAATGTAAAAATAAAGTGGTTCTATGAAATGTCTAATTTTGAATAGGTAGCTACTGATAATTAGCTCATGATACATGGTGGAGCATGGATGGTACTCTACAATATGAATAGACTAGCGTGGCATAAAAAAAAACCTTTCAATTCTGAGGATAATATTAAGGATTCTGAGTTGTTTTATCTCAACTGAGTTTTTAGTTTATAAAACATGCATTATCCTTTATCCCAAATTGCTGGTTTACAAGAAAGGAAAATAGTGCTTCTGAGGCTCTCAAAAAAAGATTTTGTAAGAGAGAAACTGTAAAGAAAATCTCAACTGAGGAAAACAGATACATTAATACACTAAGCCTAATCATCTACCTGTACCTAGGCTCACAGGTGACTGCAGGTGTCCCTAAATCCTCATGACATCCAGCAGTGATGGACTCATCCTCACCACCTTTGTAGCACCTGCTACTGCCTTCCATGATCTTTGTGCTCCACATGTGGTATGGCTCCATCACCCTGGGGATATGGTCTTTCCTCTTGCATTGGCTCCCAGGTTGGGCCTTCTCACAGTTGTGCTGATTTAGCTTGGTGAATTCGGGGCTTAGAACCATTAGTGTTTTATGTTCCATTACTTGTGTACCAAAGAAATATATAACATTGGTTTACCATTTACTCCTTTGCAGAAATCACCTAACACTGAAATTAGACACACAAATTGTATGGCAGTGAAATAATTTAGTACCATGCATTTCTATGGTTAAAAATCCTATAAAGTCTTTTAAAATAAATTATTTTCAATCGTTTGAAGAACATAACACTTGCTTCAAATAAAACTTTATGAGGACATCAAATATATAAGACAGACAAAAATGGAATTTCCCAACTGGACTGCTCAATTCTCCTCCCCCTGTATTAGCTCCCAGGCACCTGTGGAGGCCTCTAGGGTGCCTGGCACCACAGTTTGATGCAGCTCTAAAATATAATGATGTGTTAAAACTAGTTATCAGCTGAGCACGGTGGCTCACGCCTGTAATCCCAGCACTTTGGGAGGCCGAGGCAAATCACGAGGTCAGGAGATCGAGACCATCCTGGCTAACACAGTGAAACCCCGTCTCTACTAAAAATACAAAAAATTAGCCGGGCGTGGTGGCGGGCACCTGTAGTCCCAGCTACTCGGGAGGCTGAGGCAGAAGAATGGCGTGAACCTGGGAGGCAGAGCTTGCAGTGAGCCAAGATCGCGCCACTGCACTGCAGCCTGGACAACAGAGTGAGACTCCATCTCAAACAAAACAAAAAAACTATTTATCTAGATTTTTTTTACTTTTAGGTATCTTATATTGTATTAAAGGATAATAGCATAGGAAATTTACATCTTGTGAAGCGAGTGCAAAATTAATGCTCATGAAAACTAGGTATGAACACATGAAAATAATGTATCTAAATGAGGCTTCTTTTTTACAGGCTGGAGCTGGAAAGAGTTTCCTTTGTAAGTGTTCCTTTATTGAAATCTACAACGAGCAGATATATGATCTACTGGACTCTGCATCGGCTGGACTGTACTTAAGGGAGCATATCAAGAAGGGAGTCTTTGTTGTTGGTGCGGTGGAGCAGGTGGTAACCTCAGCTGCTGAAGCCTATCAGGTACCCTGCCATGAGTACTTAATTGGTGCTTAGGCAACAAACCTGCTGTGAATGCACCCCAAACTCCAAAAAGTGACAATTGAGGTACCAAAAATATGTCATAAAGGCATAATACAGAATGTTCATGGGAAGTAAAGATAAAATAATATGGCAGTATTTTCTTTTCCAAGAGTCTTTCAAAATGGAACCTCGAAAGGGCAATTTATACAGAAATAAGATGATACATTGTATCATCAGTTTCTTACTTGTCCATATGTTTTTAGTGGTTCCTCCTGGGAGATGCCTGTTTGAGGGGCTTCTGGGAACTCTGGCCTTTAAACCAGCTGGCTGTTCTTTTCTACGTTGCTTGCTTGTTAGGTGTCAAAAGCTAACTTACCTTGAGCATTCAGCTCAGGACAAGCAAACCTCTTGACAGGAATTTACAAAATATTCTAGATATGTTTTTATGAAATCTGATCTGGCTTAATGATTTGAAAGTTTTTTATTATGAAGCATTTGACACATATGAAATATTGCCACAAGCATGTAAGTTACCAAGCATAATGTTAAAGTGAACTTTCAGGAGGCTTTTAGACAATTTAAAGACCCTGGTATCACCAGTACTATCCGATTTACTGGTGATATTTGGTTCTTTAAATATGCTATAAATAGGTAAATAGGATACCTGTCCTCCCTATCCCATATCCCTGGCTCTTCCCCAAAATTAAGCACTAAGTTGAATGTCATTATCATTTTCTTCCACTTTTAAATCACATATGTATGTGGTTTTGCCTGTTTTTGAGTTTGAAAAACACATATTTAGCTTTCTATGACTTTTAAAACTCAATGTGGTTTATGAAATCTACGTTGCATTTCATTTATTTTCACTGCTGTATGATATTTTATAATTTATTCTTTTATCTTCAATAAAAGATGGAATCAAGTCTCTTGATTCCAGCTGTTTAAATTGAGACTCCCCCCGGCGAGAGATAGGTTGTACATGTGACGTAGTATGTGTATACATACATACTCAAAAATTTGTGTTGGGTTTTTTATTGGAATTACATTGCAGTTATAGACCAGTCTGGAGGGATTAACAATTCTTTTTACAATGTTTTACAATATTCAGTCCATACATTAGCATAGTATGTCTCCTCTTTTTAGATCTTTAATGTCTTGCAATATAATTTTAATAATTTTCATCATAAAAGTCACACATACTTTTTGTTAACTTTATTCCAGTATACCTTATGTTTTTAGTTTCTCTAATAATCTCTTTCTTATTTTCATTTTTATTTATTTTTTTATTTGTTTTTTTGGAGACAGAATCTTGCTCTGTCACCCAGGCTGGAGTGCAGTGGTGCAATCTTGGCTCACTGCAACCTCCGCCTCCTAGGTTCAAGCAATTCTCGTGCCTTAGCCTCCCAAGTAGGTGAGACTACAGGCGCGCACTGCCATGCCTGGCTAATTTTTTGTATTTCAGGAGAGACGGTTTCACCATGTTGCCCAGGCTGGTCTTGAACTCCTGAGCTCAGGCAATCCACCTGCCTTGGCCTCCCAAAGTGCTAGGATTATAGGCATGAGCTACCGTGCCCGGCACATAATCTCTTTTTTAAATTACATTTAGTGTTTGGTGTGTATAGAAATGCAGTTGATTTTTATAAGATGCTTTTATAATCAGCCACCTTGCTGTCTTAAAAAATCAAGAATGTGTGTTAAAGTTTTGTTTGATGCTTTTTCCACCATTGTTGAGATAATCTTGTGCTTTTTCTTCTTTAACATGTTAACACGATAAAGTACTCGATTAAGATTTGCTATTATTTTGTTTAGTGTTTTTCATAAATTTAAAAAATTGAGATCAATCTGTAATTTCCTTTGTCCTATTCCTTTTTTCTTTTTTTCTTTTTCTTTTTTTTTTGAGACAGGGTCTCGCTCTGTCACCCAGGCCAGAGTACAAGTGGCAGAATCATGGTTCACTGCAGCCTTGACCTCCTGGGCTTAACAGATCCTCCCACCTCAGCCTCCCTAGTAGCTGAGACTGCAAGTGCACAGCATTATGTCTGGCTGATTTTTGAATGTTTTTGTAGAGATGAGGTTTAGCCATGTTGTCCAGGCCAGTCTTGAACTCCTGGGCTCAAGCATTTCACCTTGCCTCAGCCTCCCACTATAGGCGTGAGACACTGCACCTGGCCCTATTCTCTTTGTCTTGTTTTATTATCAATGTTACTTGTTTTCTGAAAGTATTTGTGCCTGGGATGACTTATTCTTAGAATACATAGTAGAACTCATCTGAAAAATTATCTGGGTCTTGTGAGATTTTTAACTACAAAACAATATTTTAATAGAGCCATGCAGCCATGTTATTTCTTCTTGGGTCAGTGTTAGTAAGTTATGTATTTTAGAAAAATTTCAATTTCCTCTTAGTTTTCAAGTATATTGGCATAAAGTTGTTCCTAGTATTCACATTTTTACAATCTTTGCCATACTGCCATTCTGTTTCCTTTTTACACAGTTGTTATTGTTTATATGGACTTGCTCTTTAATATTTTCTTTGTTTTCAGTTTATCCTGGGTTTATCATGCTGTTCTTTTTCCAACTTCTTAAGCTGGATGTTTACTCACGTTGGCATTTCTTTTGTGATATAAGTATTTAATACTATAAATTTTTACTTCTTAATACTTCTTTAACTTCACACAAGTTTTAATATTTTAATTACGGTGTAGATCCAAATATTTTTCTACTATAATTTTTTTTGACTCATGAATTACTTAGAAATGTGATTTTAAATTCCAAAGCGTGTGAGGATTTCTAACTTATTTCTCACATTGATTCTCAATTGCATTGGGATCGAAGAATGTGGTCTTATGTGACATCTAGTCTTTGAGTTTTTTTTGAGACATAATTTATGGATTAATAACCTTTTTCTTAAGTGTGTCATGTGTGCTTGAGAAGAATATGTATCCTTGGTACAAGGTTTTATATTTTTGCTAGTTTTCTTGTCCGTGTAATCTATTGATACTTCAGAGAGATGCACTGATTTCCCACTAAGGTGTTGGTTTTTCAGTTTCATTGCGATTTTTGTCTAATTTTATATATATATATATATATATATATATATATATATATATATATATATATAAAATAGATACATACACATATGGAAACACAACAAGTCCTCACTTAACATCCTTATAGGTTCTTGGAAACTGACTTTAAGTGAAACGATGTATAATAAAACCAATTTTACTACAGGCTAATTGATACAAAGAAGAGTTAAGTTCCTACTGCATATTTCCAGTCATAAAAGCATCACCAAACTTCTCAATAAGAACCCAACACACTTCTAATATTAAACATTGAAATAAATGTCAACTATACATTTATTTTAAAAAGAATAATAACAACTAAGATAATTATTTACCCAGGTTTTGGTGGATAAGTGAGTGATGGCAGTCATGGTGTTGGGTTAAATCGGGAATAAATGTTTGCAAAGTAGAAATTGTCAGGAGCACTTCCTACCACCATACAGTTCAGAAACAAACAATAACAAATATGGCGGGCTCACTGAGTACTTTCATACTGCATTGTTTATTGTCCTGTATTTGTATGAGTATCATATACTTTATGACATTTTTTTTTTTTGAGACGGAGTCTCACTCTCTCTCCAAGGCTAGAGTGTAGTGGTGCGATCTTGGCTTACTTCAACCTCTGCCTCCTGGGTTCAAACGATTCTTGTGCCTCAGCCTCCTGAGCAGCTAGGACTACAGGCTTGTGCCACCACACCCGGCTAAATTTTTGTATTTTTATTAGAGATGGGGTTTTGTCATGTTGGCCGGGCTGGTCTTTACACAGACAGTTGCCCCGGGTGGAAATCATTTTATTTTCTCAAGTTCACAACAAAATAACACTGAATGAAGTGAAATGGAGGACCTGCTGTGGACTCCTTTATTAGGTATATATACAAGTGTAGAATTAGTATATATCTTCCTTTTATTTTCACCTATAATTATTTATTGATTCTGTACTTTCCTATCAACACATTTTGCTTTACAAATCTGTTTTGTCTGATGTTCACCTACCACTGAACATTCTTTTGATTACCATTTGCCTGGTATACGTTTTCCCATCAGTTTTTCTGTTTCTTTTTTTTTTTTTTTTTTTTTTGAGTCTCGCTCTGTCGCCAGGCTAGAGTGCAGTGGCATGATCTCGGCTCACTGCAACCTCTGCCTCCCAGGTTCAAGCTATTCTCCTGCCCCAGCCTCCCGAGTAGCTGGGACTACAGGCATGCGCCACCACGCCCTGTTAATTTTTGTATTTTTAGTAGAGATGAGGTTGGCCAGGATGGTCTCTATCTCTTGACCCCGTGATCTGCCTGCCTCGGCCTCCCAAAGTGCTGGGATTACAGGCGCGAGCCACTGGGCCCGGCCCCTTCTGTTTCTTAATGTTTTAGGTGTTTATTGTAAACCACATAGCTATACTTTGCTCGTTTTTTTAACTGCTCATGACAGTACCTTACCTAATTTATTTACATTACTATATGATTGTTGATATTCTTAGACTGGTTTCTACCATCTTTCTTAGTGTGTTTTGCCTGTTTCATCTAATACTTCCTTCTCTTTTCTTGCCTTTTTGTTTTTGATCCAGTATGCAGCATGATTTATTGAAAAAAACTCTTTTTCCTATTACATTGCCTTTGCATCTTTGGTGAATTGACTGTACACATATGGGTTTATATCTAACTGTATTCTGTTCTGTTGATCTATATGTTTCTTTTCATCAATATTAAATGGTCTTGATTATTATATAACTTGTTGCTAAGTAGTGTCTTTAGATCAGGTAGGGTAAGTCCTCCAACACTGTTCTTTTTAACAATTATTTTGGTTATTCATTGTCCTTTGCATTTTCATTTACATAGAACCAGTTTGTCAATTTCTACAAAATAGGCTGCTGGGATTTTGAGTGGGGTTGTGTTGAATCTATCAATTATTTTTGGTAGAACTGGCATCTTAACAATATTGAGTCTCCCAATCTATGAACACTCACCAGGTATTTTTGTTTTTGATTTTTTATTTTGATTTTTGTAGAAGTATTCAGGCAAACATGCTTGTATTTGCTTTTTCCCCTTATGTTACACAAGTGACAGCATACTGTGCTATTTTTATACCTTGCCTTTTTTATTTTGGAGACCAAGTCTCGCTGTTTTGCCCAGGCTGGAGTGCAATGGCATGATCTCAGCTCAATGCAACCTCCACCTCCTGGGTTCAAGAGATTCTCCTGCCTCAGCCTCCCGAGTAGTTGGGATTATAGCTGTCTGCCACCACGCCCAGCTAAATTTTGTATTTTTTAGTAGAGACGGGGTTTCACCATGTTGGTCAGGCTGGTCTTGAACTCCTGACCTCAGGTAATCCACCTGCCTTGGCCTCCCAAAGTGCTGGGATTACAGGCGTGAGCCATAGTGCCCGGCCGCTTTTTTTAGATAATAGTATTTTGGAATTTGTCTCAGTTTGGAGGATCTCTCTCTCTCTCTTGTTTTTTGTAGCTGTATGAATGTATCAGATGTATTTAATATGTAATATACAGTATTTAATGTTATAAAAAGAAAGCATAAAGTACTATCCAAGAAACATAACAGATACAAATAGCTGGGCGCAGTGGCTTACTCCTGTAATCCCAGCCTCTTTGGGAGGCCAAGGTGGTGGATCACTTGAGGTCAGGAGTTCAAGACCAGCCTGGCCAACATGATGAAACCCTGTCTCTATTAAAAATACAAAAAAATTAGGCATGGTGATGCATGCCTGTACTCCCACCTACTCTGGAGGCTGAGGTGGGAGGATCATTTGAGCCTGGGAGGCAGAGATTTCAGTGAGACATGAACATGTCACTACACTCCAGCCTGGGTAACAAAGTGAGACTCTGTCTTAAAAAAAAGAAAAAAGATACAAATAATTTCAGTTTTATACTGTTGCTGATTAATAGGGTTATAACAGCTACGAATTTTTTTTTTTTTTTTGTGATGAGACAGAGTCTCTGTTGCCCAGGCTGGAGCGGAATGGCCCGATCTTGGCTCACTGCAACTTCTACCTCCCGGGTTCAAGCGATTCTCCTGCCTCAGCCTCCCGAGTAGCTGGGACTACAGGTGCATGCCACCACACCCGGCTAATTTTTTATATTTTTAGCGGAGACGGGGTTTCACCGTGTTAGCCAGACTGGTCTCGGTCTCCTGACCTCATGATCCACCCACCTGGGCCTCCCAAAGTGCTGGAATTACAGGCGTGAGCCACCGTGCCCTGCCAACAGCTATGATTTATTGAGTGAAGGTGCCAAGCACTGTGCTAACTTCTTTTGTATACATTATTTTACTTAATTTTCAATATGCCCTTTGAGATAAAGACACTAATTTCCCCATTTTACCCTATATATACTGTTACCCTCCTACCCAAAATGTGGTCCTCAGAACATCAGCATCACCTGAGAGCTTGTTAGAAATGCAAAATCTCAGGCCCCACCTCACACTGAATCTGAATCTGAATTTTAACAACATCTGTAGATGATTCATATGCACCTAAAACTTATATGTTCTGTTCTATGGGATAGGTACCCATATTCCCATTTTACAAATATGAAGGCTGAGGCTTGAAAAGGTTCAGCTGGCCCCAGACCTCGCCTAGTAAATAGTGGAGCCATGGTTTGAACTCATATGCATCTGATTCCAGAGCCTGCATTCTGAACTTTCATGTATCCTGCTTGCCATAGGGAATAGAAGGGAAAAAATACTTTGTAGACCAAAAGCTTACAAAACTTTGGGCTTAAAGATAATTTACAGATTTTTCCTGTCCAACATTCTCATTTTCTAGGTAAAGAAATGGGTTCAGAGAGGTTTTGTGATTTACATTAGGTTAACACAAATAAAGCGTGGCAAAACCAGTTCTAGATCCTATGCGCTCTGATTTCCTGTTTGTTCTGTTTCTGTAATGTGGAAAGGGAACACAAAGGAAAGGAAAATAACTTCAGCTTATTCCTTAATGGACCAGTAATCTTTCTCACCACCCTTTACAAATTTCCTACTGATTTTGGTGGCTGTTGTGTACCATTTGGAACTTGGGATAATATAATTTATCTTATAAAGCTAGATAACAATGGAAGGCAATAGATACTCCTCACCCCTGTTCTAAATAGAAAATATGCTTTATGTAAATATATTTCTTTTTCCCTATGAAAGTAGATAATTAGCTGTATGTTAGTATTTTTCATAATAAAATGAGTGATTCTCAAGTGCTTATTTTACATTTTAAGTGTACCTATTCTTGTTCCTTTTTTTTTCTCTTTTCCTTTTTTTTTTTTTTTTAAGATAGGATCTTGCCCTGCTGCTCAGGCTGGAGTGCAGTGGCACAATCATGGCTCACTGCAGCCTTGAATTCCTGGGCTCAAGAGATCTTCCCACCTCAGCCTCCCGAGTAGCTAGGACTACAGGTTCCTGCCACTGTACATAGCAAATTATTATTTTTTGTAGAGGTGAGGTCTCACACTATGTAGGTCAGGCTGGTCTTGAATTCCTATCCACAAGTGATCCTCCAGACATGGCCTCCCAAACTGCTAGGATTACAGGCATAAGCCACTGTAACTGGTCCTCTCATTTCTTTTAATATGTTTTCCTTTTGCATAGGTGTTGTCTGGAGGATGGAGGAATAGACGTGTGGCATCAACATCAATGAACAGAGAATCGTCTAGGTCTCATGCCGTCTTTACAATTACAATAGAGTCAATGGAGAAAAGTAATGAGATTGTGAATATACGGACCTCCCTACTCAACCTGGTGGATTTAGCAGGATCTGAAAGGCAAAAAGATACCCATGCAGAAGGGATGAGATTGAAGGTAAGAATGAAATTATGGTCTTCAACTTGTGTGTGAGTTCTTACTAGCAGTCAATACAGTCGTGATGCATGACAGTGTCTCAGTCAATGAGGAACTGCATTTATGATGGGGGTCCCTTAAGAGTATAATAGCTATACCACATGGCTTAGGTATGTTGTAGGCTATACCATCTCGGTTTGCATAAGTATATTCTATGATGCCCACAAAACAATCAAATTTCCTAACAGCACATTTCTTAAAATGTACCCCTGTTAGCCGGGCGCGGTGGCTCACACCTGTAATCCCAGCACTTTGGGAAGCTGAGGCAGGTAGATCACGAGGTCAGGAGATCGAGACCATCCTGGCCAACGTGGTGAAATCCCGTCTCTACTAAAAAAATACAAAAGTCAGCTGGGCGTGGTGATGCGCGCCTGTAGTCCCAGCTACTTGGGAGACTGAGGCAGGAGAATCACTTGAACCTGGGAGGCCGAGGTTGCAGTGAGCTGAGATCGCGCCACTGCACGCCAGTCTGGGTGACAGAGAGAGACTCTGTCTCAGAAAAAAAAATGTATCCGTGTTGTTAACTGATATATGACCATACCAAGCTAAGTGTTTTGAGGGTGGCAAAGAAATAAGAAATTGTTCCTATTGAAAAGGAACAGAGATTTCTTTTGTGGAACAGTGAACATAGATGGGATAGGGCAAGTCTGTCAGTAGCAAAAATGTTTTAATTCATACCAGAGGGGATAAGGGTACAAGAGACAACAGGGGTCAGAGGAAGAAGGGTGCAATATGGACTGCTTGTGGAACATGTGGAAAAGAAGTAGTTCTTGACTTGTGAAGGATTTCGGTAGGGAGAGAGAAACAGGAAATGCATGCCTGGCAGGGGGGCATCTCAAGGGTTATTGTGGATGCAGAATGAGTGTAGCATTTGGCATTTCAGCATGGCTCAATGGATGGGTTGGTTAGAGAGGCAAGCAGGCCCGGATTATCAAGGACCAGGAGTGCCAGGCCAAGTTTGTATCAACTCTGCGAATACTGGGAAACACTTAACATTTCTTAGCAACTAAGTGATTCATGAAGAAAGCCTGTTTTATAGAAACTTAGTCATCTGACCCACTGCTGTTAAGATTTTAGAAGGGAGAGCCCACAGAAAAAGATGACCACTTACGCTGTTTAATATTTCAGGTATGAAGGGTTAAGTATCTAGTCCTAGGCTAAGGTATCAACAGTGGGACCAGAGGTTCTATGTAATATGTATTGTCAATATGTGTTTATATATATATATATATAGTAATACGAATTGTCAATAAAATATTTGTAGAGTCTATAGTTTAGAATATACATGGGCAAGGGGAGAGGAATTGGAAAGGATGAGGGAAGAGATCTACTTTTTTCATTAAAAGTGAGGATTTGAGTCGCCTGACCTACATTTGAGGCAGTTTCAGGCAATCTGAAGCTCATATTTTTTTGTTTTGAGACAGTCTCACTCTGTCACCCAGCTGGAGTGCAGTGGCATGATCTCGGCTTACTGCAACCTCTGCCTCTCTGGTTCAAGCAGTTCTTCTGCCTCAGCCTCCCAAGTAGCTGAGATTACAGGCGCCCACCACCACACCCAGCTAATATTTTGTATTTTTAATAGAGATGGGGTTTCACCATTTTGGCCAGGCTGGTCTTGAACTCCTGACCTCAGGTGATCCACCCTCCTTGGCCTCCCAAAGTGTTGGGATTACAGGCGTTAGCCACCACGCCCAGCCTAAAGCTCATATTTCTATTGAGATATGAGGCTTAATAAATATAGCATATGGGTTGAGCATGGTGGCTTATGCCTGTAATCCTAGCACCTGGGAGGCTGAGGTGGGAGGATCCCTCGAACCCAGGAGGTCGAGATTGCAGTGAGCTGTGATTGTGCCACTGTGCTCCAACCTGGGTGACAGAGTGAGACTCTGTGTCAAAAAAAGCATATGCTTATAATAGGACATATACCAAGTCTGTTCTAAAATGCTTTACATATATTAATTCATTTAACCTTCCCAACAACTCTGGGAAGTAGGTGCTATTCTTTCTATTTTACAGTTAAAGAAACCGAAGTCACACAGCTAATAAAGGTAGAGCTGAGATTCAAACCGAGCTGCTACAGTACTCTCAACCATGCCACTAACCACCTTTCTGATTTACTGAATGATAACAGCAGTGACTCTGAATTCAGTACATCTTGCATTATAATTTTGACTTTTTCTCTTTTTTGTATACTCCTTCCACTGCAGACCCAGTTTTCAAAATATGCTACCTACAGTAAAAATCTAATGTAACGTATTTAGCTCATTTTTTCCCCCCACCAAGCTTCTGTTTTAAAGTAGTTTTTATTATCCTTTACAGAATTAAACTGAATATTCTCCTCAAATAAGTTCATCAGTGGCTTTGGGGGCTGTATGGGTGAGTTATTAGGCATTATACCCTTAAATATTTTAGCATAAAAGGATTGAAAAAAGTACCTATTAATGCACTACTCTAGCTTTTTTTTCCCTATTTTTTTCTGGTCTTTATAGCTCGGTTTCAAACTATTACAATCATGAAGTGACATTAATATTTTTTTTCTTTGCATGATTTTTGTGTTTGTCTTTTTTTGTTGTTGTTTTTGAGAGAGGGTCTCACTCTGTCACCCAGGTTGTAGTGCAATGGCACAATCTCAGCTCACTGCAACCTCCACCTCCCAAGCTCAAGTGATCCTCCCACCTCAGCCTCCCAAGTAGCTGGGACTACAGGCATGTGCCACCATGCCCAGCAGTTTTTTGTATTTCTTTGTAGAGATGGGGTTTTGCCATGTTGCCCAGGCTGGTATCCAACTCCTGAGCTCAAGCAACCTGCCCACCTCGGCCTCCCAAAGTGCTGGGATGACTAGCATGAGCCACAGTGCCAGCCTGTGTTTGTCTTCTAATACTAAAATTACAGTGTACATCAAATAGGAAAAGGTTAGGGATAGTTCAGCACTTCTTTTTTATTTGTTGAATAGTTGTTCTTTATTAACATTGTCCCTGACTTGCCTTTTCATCCAGAATTTTCCTCTGCTAGATATATTTTCATTCAAAATACCAAAGAGTAACCAACGTACCTAAATTTTTGTTCTTTTCCGTCAACACTTTAGGAAGCAGGTAACATAAATCGATCATTGAGCTGCCTGGGCCAAGTGATTACAGCACTTGTCGACGTGGGTAATGGAAAACAGAGACATGTTTGCTACAGAGACTCCAAACTTACCTTCTTACTACGGGTAAAGTAGATCCTTGGGTTCCTGGGCTCCTTTTGGTTATGCTAAAGTTGATAGTGGGACAGTCTCTCAGCCTTGGTGGCAAGAGTATACATTTTCTTTGCTTAAAAAGGTCTTGTGATTTCTCACCGAAAATATGTTCATTCCTATCATTAAACAGGATTCCCTTGGAGGTAATGCCAAAACAGCCATAATTGCAAATGTTCATCCTGGATCCAGGTGTTTTGGGGAAACCCTATCAACACTTAACTTTGCTCAAAGAGCCAAGCTGATTAAAAACAAGGTAAAATACTGGCGTATACTTCATTAAATAAATGAGAAAAATACTAAAGCTTACAGTATGCCATTTTTGTGATTGCCCTAATATTAACATTAACTTTTATTTATTTCTCATTGTATGCAAAATTTCTATTTTATCTTTCCTACCCTTCTATATCACACATGTAATTAGAGACCTAGGTTAGATCTTATGGTTGTTATTGCTTGACTAGTTTTTTCTTTTTTTTTGAGACACAGTCTTGCTGTGTCACCCAGGCTGGAGTGCAGTGGTGCAAACACAGCTCACTCTAGCCTCAACTTCCTGGGCTCAAGCGATCCTCCTGCCTCAGCCTCCTGTGTAGCTGGAACTACAGGCATGCAGCACCATGCCAGGCTAATTTTTTTATTTTTTTAATTTTTATTTTATTTATTTTTTATTTATTTATTTTTTTGAGACAGAGTCTTGCTCTGTCACCCAGGCTAGAGTGCAGTGGTGCGATCTCTGCTCAGCTGGGACTACAGGCGCCCACCACCACGCCCGGCTAATTTTTTGTATTTTTTAGTAGAGACGGGATTTCACCGTGTTAGCCAGGATGATCTCGATCTCCTGACCTCGTGATCCGTCTGCCTTGGCCTTAATTTTTTTATTTTTTGTACAGGTAGGATCTCACTTTGTTGCCCAGGCTCGTCTCAAACTCCTAGGTTCAAGCAGTCCTCCTGCCTCATCCTTTCAAAGTGCTGGGATTACAGGTGTGAACCACTGTACCCAGCTGACAAATTTTTTCTTAAGGGAAAGCAAATTAAGTATGTGAGTCTTTCTTCCTGCCAACAGCCAATCAATCAGTTCTGCAGCAGACATCAGCTGAGTGTCTTCTGATTCAGTTCCATCCTGACACTTTATGTCTGGAGATAGGGTGAGATCTCACAGGTTCAGGGCTCAGTCCTACAAGACTGCGCCCAACTTCTGATGCCAATTGCAAGCCCCAGCTTGTCCTATCTGTGCTTTCAGACCAACTGGCTGTAAATCAGGAGGTCCATGTTGCCCCTTTCCCTGGGTAAATCAGAAGACTATAGATCTAGTCATTTATTTTATTTCCTTGGACTATGGAGTACTAGTAAGATGAGGAGGAAAAATCATTAGAGCTTCCTGACCCTAAGTCTCTTAAGATTTACTAGAAGTCTTTGGAGATATAGAACTGCAGCAATAATTAGAATTATGAAGTCACTGATGGGACAGTGATGTCAGAAGTGCAGTAGTACCTTGTAATGAGGCTGGCCATAAGAATCAGAAGCAACTGGAAATGGCTGCTTAACACACAAAAGAACAAAACCAAGAGCCTTCTACTAGTCACTCTCAATGGTAAGCCCTTTGCAGCCTATCAGTGGAAAGTGCCAGAGTATCTGGGACTTGTTTAAGGATGTGCTATTTAAATTTTTCCGTGAGCAAATTGGGCTTACAGCGAGAATACAGAAGACCTTGGGGCTGTCACAGGGTGTTTTTTCCTTGCTGGAGTACTGAGTATTTCACAACTGAGTCCTCTGACCTGGTTGGTACTCAGCTGTTGGCACTCGTTATCACCCTTTAGGCTTTGTGGACCTTTTTAAAGCTTTATTTTTTTAATTAATCAACTTTTTTTTTTTTTTTGAGATAGAGTCTCGCTCTGTCAACAGGCTGGAGTGCAGTGGCGCACATGTGTGACCTGCCCCACTCTTGACATCCTGCCCCACAGTGGCACATTTTGTTTGTGAGTCCTTTAGCCTTTTAGAAGTTGTCCTAAATAAGACATTTCTTTAAGAAAATGAAGATAATCATTTAGTGTGGTAAAAAATTAAAAAAAAAAAAAAAAAGGAAGTGTCAAACCAACCCCTCCTTCCAAGAGGGCTGTTAAAAAATAAAGGTCGGATTCCTCTGGAGAAGGTTGCTTCTGCCAAGCTCAAGCCCACCCTGCAAGTCATCATGCACTTAGAGGCTAGGCTCCTTCCCCGTAGGGAGCTAGGAAAGAAGGGAAATGATACTCACTGAGGTATTGGCTCTTCTCCATTGGGAGGGTGGGGGAAGGCTGTCGTTCTCAGGGAAAGAAGTATTAGGTGAACACACCCGGATCCTAAGGGTGACCCAGCCTAAAAGCTCAGGGCTAGTCAGCTGGGGGGCAGAGAGCCTGGCTGGGGCTGTCTCTCTCTGGCTCCAGGTCTGAAGGCACAAGAAAAGGAAGCTTCCTCCCCACTTGAGCACACTGTGATTCCTGTGTCCTTTTGACTATGATGTGGTCTTGAAGTTTTGTTTGATGTTCATCACTACAAATCATACCAAACAAATGTAAACACAGGACTATACTACTCAAAAAGCATTATTTTAATGCTTTTTAAAAAATTCCTGAACAGGCAGTAGTAAATGAAGACACCCAAGGAAATGTGAGCCAGCTCCAAGCTGAAGTGAAGAGGCTCAAAGAACAACTGGCGGAGCTTGCTTCAGGACAGACACCACCAGAAAGCTTCCTGACCAGAGGTAGGATGAGCACACAGTCCTTTATCTTGGGGAAGACTGTACAAATAATAGTTTAAGAGCCCTTGGTGATAGACACAACACAATAAGGCAACCCAAATTTTTCTGCAGGTATCTCTTTCTGCTTATTTCTCCTATATAGGAACATAGTGGTTTGTTTATAATCAGATACAGATACCATAGGCAGTGAGAAGGGGGAATTAAAATAATTTTGAATAATGTATAAGTGCTAAAAAGAGATTAATTTCATTTAGATCTACTTCTACGTAGCATATGTAATCTATATATGTTTACTATAGGATAAGAGAGACTTATTTTTCTTCAAAGAATAGCTAGTAGAGAATTAATTAACTGGAAATCCATAAAGGCAAGAGGGTGAATTATTAACAGATCTTAAGAGGTGCACAGCACCCTGGGACTCCTCTAATTTTTTAAAAAATCTACTTCTACTTCTGTTACACCATGTGTAATCTATTGTGCATATTAACTAAATAAAGAGAAACTTATTCTTTGAAGAACGACTAATATGTGGAATGGTTAATTTGAAATCCGTGATCTAGTGATGACGGTCTCATTGTTTTTTTTTTTTTTGAGACGCAGTCTCTCTTTGTCACCCAGGCTGGAGTGAAGCAGTGTGATCTCAGCTCACTGCAACCTCTACCTCCTGGGTTCAAGCGATTCTCCTGCCTCAGCCTCCTGAGTAGCTGTGACTACAGACCCACGCCACCATGCCCAGCTAATTTTTTTGTATTTTTAGTAGAGATCGGGGGCGGCGGGAGGGGGGGGTCTCACCATGTTGGCCAGGCTGGTCTCGAACTGCTGACCTCAAGAAAGATATCCGTCTGCTTCAGCCTCCTAAAGTGCTGGGATTACAGGCATGAGCCACTGTGCCCGGCCACAGTCTCATTCTTTTAGATTAGTTGAGAGCAATCAATTAAAGGCTATCTGTTCTCTTGGTTTTGCAATGTGATAAATATTTTTTTTCATCTTCCCTTTCTTATTGGATCAATTACAGACAAAAAGAAGACTAACTATATGGAGTATTTCCAGGAAGCAATGTTATTCTTTAAGAAATCTGAACAGGAAAAGAAGGTAGGAAATGGAATTAGTAATAAAGGAGATTCAAGATAGTTAGTTTTTTGCTGTGTGGTTTTTATTGCCTTACTAAGTGAAATAAATAATACCAAGTCAATAAAGTAATGGAAGGCTATGAAAAATCAAATTTTGCCTTTAAGATTAAATATGAAATTAGTATTTGTTGCTGGACTTACGAAAATTTAGGGAAGTCAAATTATTTTTCATGTTTAACCAAATTATGAATTTCTTTAAGTCTCTGATAGAAAAAGTTACCCAATTAGAAGACCTCACCCTCAAAAAGGAAAAATTTATTCAATCTAATAAAATGATTGTGAAATTCCGAGAGGATCAAATAATACGCTTGGAAAAGCTCCACAAGGAATCCCGGGGAGGTTTTCTGCCTGAGGAGCAGGATCGTTTGCTCTCAGAATTAAGGAATGAGATTCAAACTCTGCGAGAACAAGTGAGTATACGGCATCTATAATATTTCTAAAAATAAAAGAAGTTCAAAGCAAATCTAAGTTTGTCAGCAAGTACTTGTTCTTTAATACAATGGAAATTGTTTTAAGTGAATTCTTCTGACAGTGTGATTGCATAATTCCTTTACCTGTCTTTTTAAAATAGTTAAAGGGAAGAGAAGGGGAGAAGGAAGAAGTTGTGGTGACATTGCTACATAGTATGCTACTCTAGCAGGCCACGCAGAATTTCACCCAGTGGGCAGTTGTGGTTATCTGAGTCAGTAGGCTCTTTAGGGTTGTGCCTTTTAACGTTTTTGTTGTTTTTCCTTTTCCTTAGGGAGAATGGATAGGTCATACAGGTACATTGTGGGAAAACCCAAAATCTCTTATCAGCTTCTTGTTTATCTCTCTGGAGTTTTTAATGAATATTCAAACTAATATGGGTGGATATTTGTACTTTTGTTTCTCCTGTACACTTTTTTGCACTTCGCCTTTTTCAGTTAATCTTGGTTGACAAGATTAATTTGGTCCTTGTTCTTTTCAGTGTGTTGATTTAACTAGTCTCCTTTGCATGAAAAGCCTGCCACAATGTACACCCTTGTGCTTACCTCCTTAGGTGGGTGAACATTTCAAGGGTCTAGACTCCAACTGAGAATAGGAGAGTTACAGGACATGCATATTTTCAAACTGATCACAAATGCCAAGTTGCTTTCCATGGTGGTTGCAGAAGGGTACCACCAGTAGTGCATGTGCATACCTAGTTTTCTAATGGCTTTTTAGAGGAACTAATTCACTAAGGAAATGTTTGTAAATATATAATGCGTGTAATTCTTCTATGTCACAGATAGAGCACCACCCCAGAGTTGCAAAGTATGCTATGGAAAATCATTCCCTCAGGGAGGAGAATAGAAGACTGAGATTATTAGAGCCTGTGAAAAGAGCTCAAGAAATGGATGCCCAGACCATTGCAAAACTAGAAAAAGCTTTCTCTGAAATAAGTGGCATGGAGAAAAGTGACAAAAGTAAGAAATGATTGTTGTATATACGTGCCATGTAGGAAGGGGCTGTTTTAAAGAGCATTTTTAGTGCCTTGTGACTAGGGTCTTCATTTTAGCCTCCAGGCCTGCTATGCTAATGTCTTATACACATATTCTTTTATATTATAGAAAGGTATTTACTAAACTTTTCTTTTTCTCAAAAATCACAGAGCATAAACTACGTAAGCTAATAGATATAACGAGAAAATACTCATTGTATTTGTTTTATTGATAAAAAGATTGATTCAGATACTATGTTAAATTTTTACTAAATTTTCCTGTTTAAAGTATTTGAAATGAAAAGTCTTTAACTAATCAAACGTGAATAAAAATAGAGTTGAAATGTTTATCAATCTAATTAGTCCTGTGCAGTATAAGAGATATAGAAAGGTCAGACTCATAGCACAGTGTTTGGGTCCTGATGTTGTGTTTGGGTCCTGGTATTGTGGTTACCAATGTATGCAGTCTCTAGTTACATACTACTTTCATAAGTTTGCATACTATGTGAAAAGTGGTTTAGTTAATACTAAATCTGCCTTACAGTCTTGACAGCTGTTGGTGTTCATACCCTGGGATTTGGTAACAAAGTCTGTGTTTGCCCCAGTCTTAGAGTTAATATTTTCACGGTCTTTTATCATAGACTTGGCCTTGGTTTCCTTTTAGGTTGAAATTGAAAAAGTTCTAATGTTTTTATTCTGCATTCATAAAGAAGACTGTCTCTTTGCTTTTTAAAATTTCATTTTTTAAGCCTTCTTCCATTCTGTTATGACTGAATAGAATAATAAGAGTCACAGTAACTGGGTTGGGGAGAGACTTAAGATATTAGATGCAAAATTACTATCAGGTTTTCTGTTGTTTTTTTTGAGATGGAGTCTCACTCTGTCACCCAGGCTGTAGTGCAGTGGTGCGATCTCGGCTCACTGCAACCTCCACCTCCTGGATTCAAGCAATTCTCCTGCCTCAGGCTCCCTCCTGGGATTACAGTCACACACCACCACACCGAGCCAATTTTTGTATTTTTGGTAGAGATGGGGTTTCACCATGTTGGCCAGGCTGGTCTTGAACTTCTGGCTTCAAATGATCCACCCACTTCGGCCTCCCAAAGTGCTGGGATTACAGATGTGAGCCCCAACGCCTGACTTAGGTTTTCTGTTTTATTTAAACTACTTTTCCCTACAGTGCCCTTTATTTTGTTGGCCATTTTGTTGTGGCCTCCATAATACCTTGACTTACTCCCTTCAGAAGATACTAATGTCTGGATCTCATCAGTTTCTAAACATTGATCATTCTCTAAACAACTTTTACATGATCTTTTCCCACACTGAAACTCAGTGGACTCTCTTCAACATATTCAGTGTTCTAGGCATTTCCTGAAAATTAATATTTTCTACCTGATAGATGATACCGGGTTCTTACAACCTGCTGCCCTTGCTATTTGTTTCCTTTTCTAAATAATTCCTTGGCTGTTAACATTAGCTGCTAGCACTAATTCCTACAAGATTCACTGGCTGCTGTTTCTCTGTCTAGCATTAGGCGTGCCACACTTTCGTCATTGTTTGTTCTTTCTCCTAATGGGAAAGGTGTTGCCTTAACTACACTTCTCCATCCTGTGGCATCTGCTTCTTAAACATGACTTCTAATCCCCTTTGGCACACTGTGTCACATCCTGTGCCTTCTGCTGAGTTATAAGCTTTTGTATTTTAGGGCTCGCTTTCCAACCCATTTCTCACTTTTCCTCCTTGTGGCCCAAAATTGATACCTGACAGAGAACTTAGAAAATGTGTCCTGTTATTTTTGCTTGTCAAACACTGAAGTTGTAAAGCTAGGCATGGTGGCATGCACCTGTAGTCCCAACTATTTGGGAGGCTAAAGCAGGGGGTTCACTTGAGACCAGAATTTGGGGCTTTAGTACACTATGATCATGCTTGTGAATAGCCACTGCACTCTAGCCTGGGCAACATAGTGAGGCCCTGTCTCAGAAAAAAAAAAAAAAAGACTGAGATTGTTTTCTTATTAACAGATCAGCAAGGATTTTCACCTAAAGCTCAGAAAGAGCCATGTTTGTTTGCAAACACTGAGAAGTTAAAAGCACAACTCCTGCAAATTCAGACAGAGCTGAATAATTCAAAGCAAGAATATGAAGAATTCAAAGAACTTACTAGGTAAAGTCTAAATACACATGCATGCACACTTATTTTCTTTCAGTGTTCATTTGCTGTAGTGTTAATATCGATAATTCAATTGGGCATTTTACTTTAAATATTAAACTCTCATAGCAGCAACTACTTTGACATGAAGAGAAAGAGCATGCTTCTAGCTCTTTACTAATATATTCAATGAACTAGGTAATACAGGTGTTTTAAGCAGTTTTTTCCTGTTGAGAGTCTATTGAACTTGCATAGTAAATTATTTAAATTTAAATTTGATAATCAGAGTTGTTAAGACTTTTAGGAAGTATAGGTTTGTTAATATTCCTACTTGATTCTCACTATGTAAAAACAAAGATAAATCACATTCATATTATAACTAAGATCAATCTTACCCTAAAATATAAACAAATGTTTGGTTCAAAAATGACATATCACATATGGTATAATCATGGACTATTTGTTTGGGCTTTTGAATTTGAGCCCTACCATTTACTAGTTGAATCCCTTAAACAGTCTCTGAGCTGTAGTTTACTGAACTGGAGAATGATGGGAATAATCTGAGAGAATAGAGAATATCTCTGATTTAGAGATAACTATAAAGTTATGTGAGAGCATAAACTGTAAAGTATTCTATAAATGTTTGACATTACTTATTACCTGAAATACTCCGTTTTACAATATCTATTAGGAAAAGGCAGCTAGAATTGGAATCAGAGCTTCAGTCTTTGCAAAAAGCGAACCTTAATCTTGAAAACCTTTTGGAAGCAACAAAAGCCTGCAAGCGGCAAGAAGTTTCTCAGCTGAATAAAATTCATGCTGAAACACTTAAGGTAGGTCATCTGAACAATACCTCCACCTTAAATCAGTGCAATGTCATTTTATTAATAATGGAGAGAGTCTGCATGGTCTATCTCCAGATGCAGATGACATCCCATGCAGGTAATTAACACCGGTGTCACACTGGTCTTTGGGTTACTGCTAGCAATCCCACTGATGTATCCCCCCAGTGGTAGGGTGGGGTAGGAAAGAATTCAGCATTTGCAATCAAATTCGAATGTGCCATTAACTTTAGTCAGGGTTTCCTAACTTCTGAGCCTTATCTTTCTTTTCTCTAAATTGGAAATGAAGGTAATTTACTTGCAGAGTTTTAGAGTACTAAATGAGATAGATAAGCTGCCTGGTACCTTGTAGATATCAGTAAAATGGCAGCTATTACTACAATATAACATGTCCTCAAAGTTTTCAGTAGAATAGAAACCCTAATGGGCAAAGACCGCTAAGGGATCACAGGTGCCACTGGAAATAACATGAGAGGGTTTTGTCCTAAATAACCACATCCCTCATAAAAGAAAAAAAAATGTGTGAACAACTGAGAATGAGGAGAGAGAAAGGAAGTACACAAGGAAAACAAAAGGTTGAGGAGGTGATACTGATTTCAGCTTTTGTATCCAATTTTTTGAAGGTTAAAAAATTTTTTCCTTAGCTGGGTGTGGTGGTGCAGGCCTGTAGTCCCGGCTGTTTGGGAGGTTGAGGCAAGAGGATTGCTTGAGCCCAGGAATTCAAGTCCAGCTTGAATTCAAGTTCTTTTCTTTTCTTTTCTTTTTTTTAAGACAGAGTCTTGCTCTGTCGGCCAGGCTGGAGTGCAGTGGTGCAATCTCAGCTCACTGCAACCTCCGCCTCCCAGGTTCAAGCGATTCTCCTGCCTCAGCCTCCCGAGTAGCTGGGATTACAGGCGCCTGCCACCATGCCCGGATAATTTTTGTATTTTCAGTAGAGATGGGGTTTCGCCATGTTGGCCAGGCTGGTCTCGAACTCATGACCTCGTGATCTGCCTGCCTCGGCCTCCCAAAGTGCTAGGATTACAGGCAAGAGCCACTGCGCTGGCCTCAAGTTCTTTTCAATAAAAGAAAGAAATAGAGAAGACCGAAAACCTTTCCTTATATGTCTTAGAATATAAATAGATGTTTATTTATAATGATTATTTTTAGTAGTGGTGCTTTTTGTGTCACTTAATGGAAGACTACTTGTATTCATTTGAATAGGTAATTTATGTGACTGAAATTTCCTTTCTTTTCTTTTTTTTTTGAGACGGAGTTTTGCTCTTGTTGCCCAGGTTGGAGTGCAGTGGCACGATCTTGGCTCACTGCAACCTCTGCTTCCTGGGTTCAAGCGATTCTCCTGCCTCTGCCTCCCGAGTAGTTGGGATTCCAGGCGCCTGCCCCAACACCCAGCTGATTTTTGTATTTTTAGTAGAGACGAGGTTTCACCATGTTGGCCAGGCTAGTCTCGAACTCCTGACCTCAGGTGATCCGCCCGTCTCGCCTCCCAAAGTGCTGGGATTATAGGTGTGAGCCACCGCGCCCAGCCTGTGACTGAAATTTTCAAAGGCATTTAGTAGCAAATCTCTTTCCTTCTGTTGTTCTTCCAGCCAACCAAGAACTGGAGGCAATCAGTGTCACCAAGTCAATCAATGTCACCAAGTATTTTCTCACTTTACACAAATGGTGGCATAACATACACATCATTCTACAGCTTGAGGGTGTGTGTGTGTGTGTGTGTGTTTTAAAGCAATATTTTAGAGTTTGTCCCATGTCTGCAGGGGAAAAAATGTTCTCCCCCTTTTTGTTTCTGTTTTGATTTTTTATTTGTTTTGGCAGCAGCTCAAGAATGTTATGTGGATATATAATGATTTATTCAACCTGGAAAATGCTGGGTTTTTTCCTATACAGGTAGAAATTTAAAAATTATTTTTAAATTTTGATTTATTTTATTTATTTATTTTTGGTTTTGTTTTTTAGAGACAGAGTCTTGCTCTGTCACTCAGGCTGGAGTGCAGTGGCATGATCATGGCTCACTGCAGCCTTGAACTCCTGGCTTCAAGTGATCCTCCTGGAGCCTCAGCCTCCCAGAGCACTAGGATTACAGGTGTGAGCCACCATGCCTGACCAGAATTTTTTTTTACTGTTGCTTTTTAAAAAAGGTGGTCTTTGAAGTTTTTGTAAGAAATTATTGAAAAATACTTGCAGAATACTGCCAAATGTTTTATAATTCTGTGTCTGTAGCCCCTTAGCACAATGGAATTATAGAGCTTGAAGCACCACGGCATTCTCGTCCTACTTCTTCCTTTTATGACTGAGCAAACAGGACTCAGAGGATTAGGTTTGCCAGGAGGGGCATAGCAATTCAGAGTCTTTGTTGTTGTTTTAGTTGGACAACTACTATATGAATACATTCTCTTTGTTTAAAAGAAAGACACATATTTCAAGTTAAAGTTAAAATTCCTTTTCAGCATCACTTCCAATCTGGATCTAATATAATCCTTTGTCCCCACAATCCCTGGAGGTAGTTTAATCCTTTTTCTTAGCATTTTTGTACTGTTAATATATACAGACTGAGAAAACACATAGAGTTGTTTCCTAGATTGTGTATTGTTTTGCTTTTTTTTTTTTTTTTAAAAAAAAACGGTCATTCTTCATGTGTTATTCCACAATATGCTTTTGTTAACTCAGGGATATGCCTTAGATCTTTCCACATTAACTGGTACCTAGAGCCTCATTTGGATGTGAGGCTCAAGGAATATGAGCCTCATACCAGTTAACGTGAGGCTCAAGGGTTATGAGCCTCATACCAGTTAATGTGGAAAGATCCAAGGCATCTCCTTTGAGGGACAGAAGAATTATAGAGCTTGAATTATAGAGCTTGAAGCACCATGAGGGATATCCCCTTGGGGGATATGCCTTGGATCTTTCCATATTAACTGGTACCTACCTCATTTTAACCCTAGGTTTCTATGGCTTAAGTAGATGGTTTCCAGTGCGTGCATTCTCTGGGGGTGGATTCCGTTAAAGGAGAAGTGGTCATTTTAGGATGTCTTAGCATTTGAGTGAGTCAAGCTGAAGCTCCCTCCTAGTGCCCTGTTCCCGCAGCATAGATGCATAGATGCACTCCTTTCCCAGCACTGTCCGCAGGAACTGGGATTGTCATGCTTGTTAATGTTTGACCATCTGATGGGTAAAAAATGAGATCTTGTTGTTAAGGTTTTAATTCTCATTTCTCTAATTTCAAATATCTTTTCATATGTTCATGTCCATTTGTATATCCTATTCCCTGAAAAGAAAAACTATTGTTTTTTTATATTTTTCTTCAGATTTTGTTTTTATGTAATAAGCATTTGTTTGTTAGGTGTACTGCCAATATATTCCTCCATCATGTTGCTTGTCTTTCATCTTTGCATGTGATGCTTTTGTTATATAGAAGTTTTATATTTTTGATGTAGCCAGGTTTATTGACCTTTTATCTTTATGACTTTTTTGCCTTTAATTTTGCTTTACATTGAGGTGTTTGTGTATCCACTGTTTTTCTTTTGAATGGTATGAGAAAGGGATTTAACTTAAAAAAAGTAATACAGCTAGGCATAGTGGCTCACACCTGTAATCTTAACACTTGGGGAGGCAGAAGCAGGAGGATTGCTTGAATCTAGGAGTTCAAGACCAGCTTGGGCAACATAGTAAGACCCTACCTCTGCAAAAAAAAAAAAAATTTAAATTAGCCAAGCATGGTGGTGTGCACCTTTGGTCTCAACTACTCCTGATACCTAAAATTTCCACAGAAAGATTATTCTATTTCTGGGCGGGGTGTGGTGTCTCACGCCTGTAATTCTAGCACTTTGGGAGGCCAAAGCGGGCAGATCACTTGAGGCCAGGAGTTGGAGACCAGCCTGGCCAACATGGTGAAACCCCATCTCTACTAAAACTACAAAAATTAACCAGGCATGGTGGTGTGTGCCTGTAGTCCCAGCTACTTGGGAGGCTGAGGCAGGAGAATTGCTTGAACCTGGGAGGCAGAGGTTGTGGTGAGCCAAGATTACACCACTGCACTCCAGCCTGGGCAACAGAACAAGACTGTGTCTCAAAAAATAATAATAATTCTATTTCTGGACTTTGTATTTCCTCCCAGTGTTCTATTTGAATGTACATAAGCTAATGTACTGTTTTAATATAATGTACTGTAATGTAATGTACTATTTTAATGACCATACTCCCATACCCCTATGTATTTTTATATCAGATGGGGAAGTCTTCCTAATTTGTTCTTTTTATTTTTATTTTTTTGAGAGACAGGGTCTCAGTCTGTCACTCAGGCTGGAGTGCAATGGTGTGATAATAGCTCACTGCAACCTAGAACACCTGGGCTCTGGGGATCCTCCTGCCTCAGCTTCCCAAGTAGCTGGGACTACAGGCCTGGGACACCATGCCCAGCTAATTAAAATGATTTTTTTTTTTGGTAGAGACAGGATCTCACTATGTTGCCCAGCCTGGTCTTGGACTCCTGGCCTCAAGTGATCCTCCCCTTCTCAGCCTCCCACGGTGTTGGGATTATAGCCATGAACCACCATGCCTGGCTTGTTCTTTTTAATTGTCTTGTCTCTTCTTGTACATTTATTCTTTGTATGAAAATAGATATCAGCTCATTAAGTTTATTTTTAAAAATTGTATTAGAATTTTGCTTGGGACTGCATTGAATTGATAAATTTATTTCCACTTGGGCATTTTTGTACTGTGTCTCAAGGGTACTTTTTCCTTTCTTTTCATGAATAGTATTTCAATTTTATCCTCTCTATTCACAAAATTATTAAATATGCCCTTTTTAAATATGTGCTAATGTTTTCCATAATCATTTTTTGCTGCAGATTATAACTACACCAACCAAGGCCTACCAACTTCATTCCCGACCAGTACCAAAATTAAGCCCTGAAATGGGAAGCTTTGGCTCTCTATACACTCAGAATTCTAGCATATTAGATAATGATATATTAAATGAGCCAGTTCCTCCTGAGATGAATGAACAAGCTTTTGAGGCCATTTCTGAAGAGCTTAGAACAGTGCAGGTAATGTTTTGTTCTAGAAAAAATAAATAACTGGACATCCATTTAAATACATTTGCTTTGTTATTTTAATTCCCTATAAGTTACAGTGTTCAAAAGTGCTTAGTATTAAAATCATATCTTTTTAAGTGTGGGTTTATAATCATTCCTAGATTGGAAATCAGCCCACTCTTGCTTTTTGTCTCTACTTTACAATCTTTAGCAAGTCATTCTCCATGGGTTTTTGTTCCTTAGTGTATAAAATGACCAGTTGGCCACTAGCTCCAAGTTCCAGAACTGGTTTATATAGCAAAGTGCTGTATCTGCTAAAAAAAGTTAAAAGAGGCCGGGTGCGGTGGCTCACGCCTGTAATCCCAGCACTTTGGGAGGCTGAGGCAGGCATATCACGTGAGATCAAGAGTTTGAGACTAGCCTGACCAACATGGTGAAACCCCGTCTCTACTAAATAGACAAAATTAGCCGGGTGTGGTGGTACATGCCTGTAATCCCAGCTACTCGGGAGGCTGAGGCAGGAGAATTGCTTGAACCCGGGAGGCGGAGGTTGCAGTGAGCCGAGATCGCGCCACTGCACTCTAGCCTGGGCAACAAGAGTGAAACTCTGTCTCAAAAAAAAAGAAAGTTAAAAGAATCTTATTATAGATCAAATTTTAGACAGTTTTTAATATATTTGAAATAATGTGAAATTTGATTATTCCAGAATTTTTATGGTTTGTTAATTTTTTAAAAAGGTTTTCTACTGTCCAGTAAAAGTTGGAGTGGGCCAGACCACCCCAAACCCCAGTATTTTGTCCTTTCCAGGCCATGGAGGTAACCGCTTGCAGCCCTGAGGAAGCTTCTTAGAAGTCTCAAGATGGCTCTGTCATGTAATCCAGGATTTTAATTTTAATCACTTCTTTCCTTTGTATTTCAAAGTGTCTACTTTAATGGACCACAAGTGTAAATCTGAAACATTAGCAATCATTTAGTATATAACCTTTTGATGATGTTTTCTGGCTCCAAACAGGCCTTTGATACCTTTGTTCATATGAGGTTTTGAATTTGTTTTGTTTTGTTTTGTTGTCTCTTTAATGCAGACGAAATGGTGGAATGTTTGAGAATTCCATTAAAATAAATTTTGATGACTGAAGTTTTTGTGTTGCAGGAACAAATGAGTGCTCTTCAAGCCAAACTGGATGAAGAAGAGCATAAAAACCTAAAGCTTCAGCAGCATGTTGACAAACTGGAACATCATTCTACCCAAATGCAGGAGGTGAGACCAAGAGCACAGCCTCAGAAAATGTATGAAGTACCCTCAAATGTTACCTTGAGGAAACATCCTCAAGGATCCTCAAACATCCTTGAGTATGCATGAAACATATTCAGAGAGTATCACAGAAAGAAAATGTTGTCACATGGCCTTAGTGAAGGCTTATTTGAGCTGTATTCTCTACCTTGTTACTTAGCATGCTGCTCTGATAATGAGACAGGCATGCATAGTCTAAACCTGGCTGACTTAGTCAATAATGCAAATGGATCCCTTGCTATGTGTTTAGAAGAAACCAAGATGGACTGTCCATGGCTTCATAGTTGTTAATCATCTTTACTGTAGTTCATGGGGACAGCCAATTTTCTTCTGGTCAGAGACGTTAAAGCTAGACTTTAAAAACAGGGACAGGTTAATGGGGCCAGGCACAGTGGCTAACACCTGTAATCCCAGCACTTTGGGAAGCCAAGGCAGGTGGATCGTCTGAGGTCAAGAGATCAAGACCAGCCTGGCCAAGGTGGCGAAACCCCGTCTCTACTAAAAATACAAAACTTAGCTGGACGTGGTGGCGTGGGTCTGTAGTCACAGCTACTCAGGAGGCTGAGGCAGGAGAATCACTTGAACCCAGGAGGCGGAGGTTGAAGTGAGCCGAGGTCGCATCACTGCACTCCAGCCTGGGTG
This sequence comes from Homo sapiens, assembly GCF_000001405.40. Taxonomy (NCBI): domain Eukaryota; kingdom Metazoa; phylum Chordata; class Mammalia; order Primates; family Hominidae; genus Homo; species Homo sapiens. The sequence goes on from NW_009646197.1 coordinate 338,315, forward strand.
ACAGAGCAAGACTCTGTCTCAAAAAAAAAAAAAGAAACAGGTTAATGATTTGGAGTGCATCTTAGCATGCCAGTATTCCTTTTCCAGTAAATTTATCTTTTTTCCCAAAGCTTTTCTCATCAGAAAGAATTGATTGGACCAAACAGCAGGAAGAGCTTCTCTCACAGTTGAATGTCCTTGAAAAGCAGCTTCAAGAGACTCAAACTAAAAATGACTGTAAGTTATTCTATCAGGAGCTTTGTGACTTGAAGGAATACTGTAACTCAATATCTTTTTACTTTTATTAATAAATGCTGTTCCTATGTTTTTGGATGGTTGCTTTGTTGTTGTTGTTTGTTTGATAACCAGACTGCAGTTTGCATGCAGTGGTAAGTAACAGTAATATATCATAAAAGGTAAATTTCTCTATCATTGCCCACAAACAAATGATACAAATGTTTGCTTAAAGTTTTTTGTTGTTTGTTTGTTTTTGACACAGACTCTCGCTTTGTCACCCAGGCAGGAGTCCAGTGGCATGATCTTGGCTCACTGCAACCTCCACCTCCCGAGTTCAAGCGATTCCCCACCTCAGCCTCCTGAGTAGTAGCTGGGATTACAGGAGTGCATTACCATGCCTGGCTAATTTTTTTTTTCTTTGGTCATTTTTTTTTTGTTTTGTTTGTTTTGTTTTTTTTTTTTTTGAGGTGGAGTCTTGCTTTGTCACCCAGGCTGGAGCGCAGTGGCGGGATCTCGGCGGCTCACTGCAACCTCCAGCTCCTGGGTTCAAGCAGTTCTCCTGTCTCCTCCCAAGTAGCTGGGATTATAGGCGTGCACCACCAAGCCCGGCTAATTTTAGGAGAGACACGGTTTCGCCATGTTGGCCAGGCTGGTCATGAACTCCTGACCTCAGGTGATCCACCCACCTCGGCCTCCCAAAGTGCTGGGATTACAGGCGTGAGCCACTGTGCCCAGCCTGCTTAAAGTTTTAGATAAGCTGCTTTGAAAATGAAGTGTCTTGAATTCATGAATGTTTTAATATTAACAAAGCGTAGGTTATATATTTGTATATGTTTGTAGATGTGGGAATATCATTTGATTCCCAATTTTTTCACTTTATTTTTCCCTTCATTAAAGTATTTGCAGTGGTTTGTAATAAAGCTAAAACAAAAAGAGATAGCCATTCTATTTTCTTTGAACTAAAAAGTTAACTAATACTATTTGCAGTTGTAGTTGTCTTAGAAGACCTGAAGTAGTTAACCCATGTTGGAAAGTTTAGGCAAATTTCCAAGGGATTTTCAATAACTAAGATGAGCTCACTCAAAATATGTTACATCTTTTAATTTTTTTTTCTTATATTAAGAGTTTTGTTTGTTTGTTTGTTTTGAGACAGAGTCTCACTTTGTCACCCAGGCTGGAGTGCAGTGGGTGCAATCTCGGCTCACTGTAACCTCCAACTCCCAGGCTCAAGCGATCCTCCCACCTCAGCCTCCTGAGTAGATGGGACCACAGGTGCTCACCACCACAGCCAGCTAATTTTTTGTATTTTTGGTAGAGACAGGGTTTTGCCATGTTGCTCAGTCTGGTCTCGAACTCCTGACCTCAAGCATTTCGCCTGCCTCAGCCTCACAAAGTACTGGGATTATAGGCATAAGCCACTGTGTCTGCCCTTATATTAGGAGTTTTGAAGCACATTTTACAGGAGAAATCTAGCAAAGTCAAGTGACCTGTAAGTCAGGGACAGATGTTAATGCTTTCTATTTCAGTAGAAATTTACGAAAAACCATGTGCAAGGGAGAGGAAGAAAATAGAAATCTCAGTGCTGCTAGGTACCCGCCACTTAATTCTTTAACATTTTTCCTTAAAATAGTCTCTTCGACTTGATTTTGCTAATTGTGGGACTAGTACCTATCAGATTTATTTGTCTGCTTTAAGAAACCTACTGAGGATATGTTTTCTTTGTTTTTTAGTTTTGAAAAGTGAGGTACATGACCTGCGAGTAGTCCTTCATTCTGCTGACAAGGAGCTTTCTTCAGTGAAATTGGAATATAGTTCATTCAAAACGAATCAGGAGAAAGAATTCAACAAACTTTCCGAAAGACACATGCATGTACAGCTTCAATTAGATAATCTCAGGTAGAGTTGTTCTTTTATGGTTTCAAGTTGCCTGATTGGCTGTAACCTACGACTGTTTGAAGTTGGAAGTGTTATAAACTCAACTCAAAGCAGTTAGACAAATAAAAAAGATAATTTATTGGCTCCAATATTGGAAGCCCCAGAGGTGATTTTGGTTTCAGGAACAAACTAGTCTGAGTCTCAAGCAATATTGTCAGTGTTCTATCTCTCTCAGCTATGCTCAGTTCTATGTGTTGCTCTTATTCCCTCCTATTACTGAGGTCCTTCTTCTATGTGACAAGGAACAGATTGCCTCACACAGCTCCATATTTTGGTTCCCAGGATAAAAACCCCTGTAAAGAAATTCTCTCTCCCAATAGCCATGTATTATCCCAGAGAAAATCTGAATTGGTTTTGCTTGAGTCATCTGCTCACCTTTGGACCAGTCACTTTACCAGGTTTGAGATGGCACTGGCCTGACATAGAGTAATGTGCCTGCTCTGGAGGGAAAGGTGTGCTCTTACTAGAAGAAAGGACAGTCAGTATAAGGTAAACCAAAACAATAGTCTTCACTGCTGTGCACACTAACTCTACAAAGGCTGGCTGATTAGTCAAGTGCTGATATCTTGAAACAAATGTAATCTCACATCTAAATAGTTTATTCTTTGTTATTTACTGTTTCTTTTTTTCTTCTTGCTAATTTCAACCTTTTGTATAACATAACACTTTTTGATAATGTCTCCTGTGTCTATAAGCCATAATTTAATAATGGACATGAATGTTACACTGTGAATGTGATGTGAATGTAACTGTTTGCTCTGGAAAAGCTACTAGTAGGCAGCCTTGAGTTTAATTTTTGTAGATGTTACAAAGATTAAAATCTGTAGCTGTTGAGTGTTTTTTGGATATACAACCAGAAATTGAAAGAGAGGAAGAAAACTTGAGATCTGCAGGCCAGAGCCACCTATACATACATTTTTCTTTTTTTTTTAAAGATTCATTTCTATTTGTAAAATGAAAAAAATGCATAATTATTACTAATGAAATACTGACAATAGTTTCATAAAAGAGAAAGTGATGACATTTGTAACCTTTCCTTGCCATATCTCTATCTCACTGAATGTTGAATAGCTTGAGTTTTAGGCAAAATCCCATATTTATCTGCTGCTGCTGCTTCTCCTTTTTTTAAAATTTTTTTAAATTTTACTTTAATTTCTAGGGTACATGTGCACAACGTGCAGGTTTGTTACATAGGTATACATGTGCCATGTTGCTTTGCTGTACCCATTAACTCATCATTTACATTAGGTATTCCTCCTAATGCTATTCCTCCCCCAGCCCCCCACCCCTTGACAGGCCCCAGTGTGATGTTCCCCGCCCTGTGTCCACGTGTTCTCATTGTTCAGTTCCCACCTATGAGTGAGAACATGAGGTGTTTGGTGTTCTGTCCTTGTGATAGTTTGCTGAGAATGATGGTTTCCAGCTTCATCCATGTCCCTGCAAAGGACATGAACTCATCCTTTTTTATGGCTGCATAGTATTCCATGTGTATATGTGCCACATTTTCTTAATCTAGTCTATCATTGATGGACATTTGGGTTGGTTCCAAGTCTTTGCTATTGTGAATAGTGCCACAATAAACATATGTGTGCATGTGTCTTTATAGTAGCATGATTTATAATCCTTTGGGTATATACCCAGTAATGGGATCGGTGGCTCAAATGGTATTTCTAGTTCTAGATCCTTGAGGGATTGCCACACTGTCTTCCACAATGGTTTAACTAATTTACGCTCTCACCAACAGCGTAAAAGTGTTCCTATTTCTCCACATCCTCTCCAGCATCTTTTGTTCCCTGACTTTAATGATTGCCATTCTAACTGGTGTGAGATGGTGTCTCATTGTGGTTTTGATTTGCATTTATCTGATGACCAGTGATGATGAGCATTTTTTTCATGTGTCTCTTGGCTGCATAAATGTTTTTTTTTTGAGAAGTGTCTGTTCATATCCTTTGCCCACTTTTTGATGAGGTTGTTTGTTTTTTTCTTGTAAATTTGTTTAAGTTCTTTGTAGATTCTGGATATTAGCCCTTTGTCAGATGGGTAGATTGCAAAAATTTTCTCCCATTCTGTAGGTTGCCTGTTCACTCTGATGGTCATTTCTTTTGCTGTGCAGAGGCTCTTTAGTTTAATTAGATCCCATTTGTCTATTTTGTCTTTTGTTGCCATTGCTTTTGGTGTTTTACTCATGAAGTCTTTGCCCATGCGTATGTCTTGAATGGTATTGCCTAGGTTTTCTTCTAGGGTTTTTATGGTTTTAGGTCCAACATTTAAGTCTTTAATCCATCTTGAATTAATTTTTGTATAAAGTGTAAGGAAGGGATCCAGTTTCAGCTTTCTACATATGGCTAGCCAGTTTTCCCAGCACCATTTATTAAACAGGAAACCCTTTCCCCATTTCTTGTTTTTCTCAGGTTTGTCAAAGATCAGATGGTTGTAGATGTGTGGTATTATTTCTGAGACCTATGTTCTGTTCCGTTGGTCTATATCTCTGTTTTGGTACCAGTACCATGCTGTTTTGGTTACTGTAGCCTTGTAGTATAGTTTGAAGTCAGGTAGCGTGATGCCTCCAACTTTGTTCTTTTGGCTTAGGATTGTCTTGGCAATGCGGGCTCTTTTTTGGTTACATATGAACTTTAAAGTAGTTTTTTCCAATTCTGTGAAGAAAGTCATTGATAGCTTGATGGGGATGGCATTGAATCTATAAAATTATCTTGGGCAGTATGGCCATTTTCACAATATTGATTCTTCCTACCCATGAGCATGGAATGTTCTTCCATTTGTTTGTGTCCTCTTTTATTTCGTTGAGCAGTGGTTTGTAGTTCTCCTTGAAGAGGTCCTTCACATCCCTTGTAAGTTGGATTCCTAGGTATTTTATTCTCTTTGTAGCAGCTGTGAATGGGAGTTCACTCATAATTTGGCTCTCCGTTTGTCTGTTATTGGTACATAGGAATGCTTGTGATTTTTGCACATTGATTTTCTATCCTGAGACTTTGCTGAAGTTGCTTATCAGCTTAAGGAGATTTTGGGCTGAGATGATGGGGTTTTCTAAATATACAATCATGTCATCTGCAAACAGGGACAATTTGACTTCCCCTTTTCCTAATTGAATACACTTTATTTCTTTCTCTTGCCTGATTGCCCTGGCCAGAACTTCCAACACTATATTGAAGAGGAGTGGTAAGAGAGGGCATCCCTGTCTTGTGCCAGTTTTCAAAGGGAATGCTTCCAGTTTTTGTCCATTCAGTATGATATTGGCTGTGGGTTTGTCATAAATAGCTCTTATTATTTTGAGATACGTTCCATCAATATCTAGTTTATTGAGAGTTTTTAGCATGAAGTGCTGTTGAATTTTGTCGAAGGCCTTTTCTGCATCTATTGAGATAATCATGTGGTTTTTGTCATTGGTTCTGTTTATGTGATGGATTGCATTTATTGATTTGCGTATGTTGAAGCAGCCTTGCATGCCATAGATACAGCCGACTTTATTGTGGTGGATAAGCTTTTTGATGTGCTGCTGGATTCACTTTGCCAGTATTTTATTGAGGATTTTTGCATCGATGTTCATCAGAAATATTGATCTAAAATTCTCTTTTTTTGTTGTGTCTCTGCCAGGCTTTGGTATCAGGATGATGCTGGCCTCATAAAATGAGTTAGGGAGTATTCCCTCTTTTTCTATTGATTGGAATAGTTTCAGAAGGGATGGTACCAGCTCCTCTTTGTACCTCTGATAGAATTTGGCTGTGAATCCGTCTGGTCCTAGACTTTTTTTGGTTGCTAGGCTATTAATTATGGCCTCAATTTCAGAGCCTGTTATTGGTGTATTCAGAGATTCAGCTTCTTCCTGGTTTAGTCTTGGGAGGGTGTATGTGTCCAGGAATTCATCCATTTCTTCTAGATTTTCTAGTTTATTTGCGTAGAGGTGTTTATAGTATTCTCTGATGGTAGTTTGTATTTCTGTGGGATAGGTGGTGATATCCCCTTTATCATTTTTTATTGCATCTATTTGATTCTTCTCTCTTTTCTTCTTTATTAGTCTTGCTAGCAGTCTTATCAATTTTGTTGATCTTTTCAAAAAACCAGCTCCTGGATTCATTAATTTTCTGAAGGGTTTTTTATGTCTCTATCTCCTTCAGTTCTGCTCTGATCTTAGTTATTTCCTGCCTTCTGCTAGCTTTTGAATTTGTTTGCTCTTGCTTCTCTAGTTCTTTTAATTGTGATGTTAGGGTGTCGATTTTAGATCTTTCCTGCTTTCTCCTGTGGGCATTTAGTGCTATGAATTTCCCTCTACACACTGCTTTGAATGTGTCCCAGAGATTCTGGTACATTGTATCTTTGTTCTCATTGATTTCAAAGAACATCTTTATTTCTGCCTTCATTTCGTTATTTACCCAGTAGTCATTCAGGAGCAAGTTGTTCAGTTTCCATGTAGTGGTGCAGTTTTGAGTGAGTCTCTTAATCCTGAGATCTAATTTATTGCACTGTGGTCTAAGAGACAGTTTGTTGTGATTTCTGTTTTTTTTACATTTGCTGAGGAGTGCTTTACTTTTAACTATGTGGTCAATTTTGGAATAAGTGCGATGTGGTGCTGAGAAGAATGTATATTCTGTTGATTTGGGGTGGAGAGTTCTGTAGATGTCTATTAGGTCCGCTTGGTCCAGAGCTGAGTTCAAGTCCTGGATACCCTTGTTAACCTTCTGTCTCATTCATCTGTCTAATATTGACAGTGGGGTGTTAAAGTCTCCCATTATTATTGTGTGGGAGTCTAAGTCTCTTTGTAGGTCACTCAGGACTTGCTTTATGAATCTGGGTGCTCCTGTATTGGGTGCATATATATTTAGGATAGTTAGCTCTTTTTGTTGAATTGATCCCTTTATCATTATGTAATGGCCTTCTTTGTCTCTTTTGATCTTTGTTGGTTTAAAGTCTGTTTTATCAGAGACTAGGATTGCAATCGCTGGTTTTTTTTGCTTTCCATTTGCTTGGTAGATCTTCCTCCATCCCTTTATTTTGAACCTATGTGTGTCTCTGCACGTAAGATGGGTCTCCTGAATACAGCACACCAATGGGTCTTGACTATCCAATTTGCCAGTTGGTGTCTTTTAATTGGGGCATTTAGCCCATTTACATTTAAGGTTAATATTGTTATGTGTGAATTTGATCCTGTCATTATGATGTTAGCTGGTTATTTTGCTCGTTAGTTGATGCAGTTTCTTTTTTTTTTCCTTTTTTTTTTTTAAACTTTTATTTATTTTTTATTGATCATTCTTGGGTGTTTCTCACAGAGGGGGATTTGGCAGGGTCACAGGACAATAGTGGAGGGAAGGTCAGCAGATAAACAAGTGAACAAAGGTCTCTGGTTTTCCTAGGCGGAGGACCCTGCGGCCTTCCGCAGTGTTTGTGTCCCTGGGTACTTGAGATTAGGGAGTGGTGATGACTCTTAACGAGCATGCTGCCTTCAAGCATCTGTTTAACAAAGCACATCTTGCACCGCCCTTAATCCATTTAACCCTGAGTGGACACAGCACATGTTTCAGAGAGCACAGGGTTGGGGGTAAGGTCACAGATCAACAAGATCCCAAGGCAGAAGAATTTTTCTTAGTACAGAACAAAATGAAAAGTCTCCCATGTCTACCTCCTACTACACAAACACGGCAACCATCCGATTTCTCACTCTTTTCCCCACCTCTCCCCACTTTCTACTCCACAAAACCGCCATTGTCATCATGGCCCGTTCTCAATGAGCTGCCGGGCACACCTCCCAGACGGGGTGGTGGCCGGGCAGAGGGGCTCCTCACCTCCCAGTAGGGGCGGCCGGGCAGAGGCGCCCCTCACCTCCCGGACGGGGTGGCTGGCCGGGCAGGGGGCTGACCCCCCCACCTCCCTCCCGGACGGGGCGGCTGGCCGGGCGGGGGGGCTGACCCCCCCACCTCCCTCCCGGATGGGGCGGCAGGCCGGGTGGCGGGCTGACCCCCCCCACCTCCCTCCCGGACCGGGCGGCTGGCCGGGCGGGGGGCTGACCCCCCCACCTCCCTCCCGGACGGGGCAGCTGGCCGGGCAGAGGGGCTCCTCACTTCCCAGTAGGGGCGGCTGGGCAGAGGCGCCCCTCACCTCCCGGACGGGGCGGCTGGCCGGGCGGAGGGCTGACCCCCCCACCTCCCTCCTGGACGGGGCGGCTGGCCTGGCGGTGGGTGACCCCCACCTCCTTCCTGGACGGGGTGGCTGCGGGGCGGTGACGCTCCTCACTTCTCAGACGGGGCGGCTTCCGGGCGGAGGGGCTCCTCACTTCTCAGACGGGGCGGTCGGGCAGAGACGCTCCTCTCCTCCCAGACGGGGTTGCGGCCGGGTAGAGGCACTCCTCACATCCCAGACGGGGCGGCGGGGCAGAGGCGCTCCCCACATCTCAGACGATGAGTGGCCGGGCAGAGACGCTCCTCACTTCCTAGATGGGATGGCGGCCGGGAAGAGGCGCTCCTCACTTCCTAGATGGGATGGCGGCTGGGAAGAGGCGCTCCTCACTTTCCAGACTGGGCAGCCAGGCAGAGGGGCTCCTCACGTCCCAGATGATGGGCGGCCAGGCAGAGACGCTCCTCACTTCCCAGACAGGGTGGCGGCTGGGCAGAGGCTGCAGTCTCGGCACTTTGGGAGGCCAAGGCAGGCGGCTGGGAGGTGGAGGTTGTAGCGAGCTGAGATCACGCCACTGCACTCCAGCCTGGGCAACATTGAGCATTGAGTGAACCAGACTCCGTCTGCAATCCCGGCACCTCGGGAGGCCGAGGCTGGCGGATCACTCGCGGTTAGGAGCTGGAGACCAGCCCGGCCAACACAGCGAAACCCCGTCTCCACCAAAAAAATACGAAAACCAGTCAGGCGTGGCGGTGCGTGCCTGCAATTGCAGGCACTCGGCAAGCTGAGGCAGGAGAATCAGGCAGGGAGGTTGCAGTGAGCTGAGATGTCAGCAGTACCGATGCAGTTTCTTCCTAGCGTCGATGGTCTTTACAATTTGGCATGTTTTTGCAGTGGCTGGTACTGGTTGTTCCTTTCCATTTTTAGTGCTTTCTTTAGGAGCTCTTGTAAGTCAGGCCTGATGGTGACAAAATCTCTCAGCATTTGCTTGTCTGTAAAGGATTTTATTTCTCCTTCACTTATGAATCTTAGTTTGGCTGGATATGAAATTCTGGGTTGAAAATTCTTTATTTAAGAATGTTGAATATTGCCCCCCACTCTCTTCTGGCTTGTAGAGTTTCTGCTGAGAGATCCGCTGTTAGTCTGATGGGCTTCCCTTTGTGGGTAACCCGACCTTTCACTCTGGCTGCCCTTAACATTTTTTCCTTCATTTCAACCTTGGTGAATCTGACAATTATGTGTCTTGGGGTTGCTCTTCTCGAGGAGTATATTTGTGGTATTCTCTGTTTTTCCTGAATTTGAATGTTGGCCTGCCTTGCTAGGTTGGGGAAGTTCTCCTGGATAATATCCTGAAGAGTGTTTTCCAACTTGGTTCCATTATCCCCATCACTTTCAGGTACACCAATCAAATGTAGATTTGGTCTTTTCACATAGTCCCATGTTTCTTGGAGGCTTTGTTCATTTCTTTTTACTCTTTTTTCTCTAAACTTCTCTTCTCGCTTTATTTCATTGATTTGATCTTCACTCAGTGATACCCTTTCTTCCACTTGATCGAATCGACTGTTGAAGCCTTGTGCAGGTGTCATGAAGTTCTCATGCTCTGGTTTTCAGCCCCATCAGTTCATTTAAGGTCTTCTCTACACTGTTTATTCTAGTTAGCCATTCGTCTAATCTTTTTTCAAGGTTTTTAGCTTCCTTGCATTGGGTTTGAACATGGTCCTTTAGCTTGTCGAAGTTTGTTATTACCGACCTTCTGAAGCCTACTTCTGTCAACTCGTCAAAGTTATTCTCGTCCAGCTTTGTTCTATTGCTGGTGAGGAGCTACAATCCTTTGGAGGAGAAGAGGCGCTCTGGTTTTTAGAATTTTCAGCTTTTCTCCTGTGGTTTCTCCCCATTTTTGTGGTTTTATCTACCTTTGGTCTTTGATATTGGTGACTGACAGATGGGGTTTTGGTATGGATGCCCTTTTTGTTGGTGTTGATGCTATTCCTTTCTGTTTGTTAGTTTTCCTTCTAACAGTCAGGTCCCTCAGCTGCAGCTCTGTTGGTGTTTGCTGGAGGCTCACTCCAGACCCTGTTTGCCTGGGTATCACCAGCGGAGGCTGCAGAACAGCAAATATTGCTGCCTGATCCTTCCTCTGGAAGCTTCGTCCCAGAGGGGCACCCACCTGTATGAGGTGTCAGTCGGCCCCTACTGGGAGGTTTATCCCAGTTAGGCTACACAGAGGTCAGGGACCCACTTGAGGAGGCAGTCTGTCCATTCTCAGTGCTCAAACACCGTGTTGGGAGAACCACTGTACTCTTCAGAGCTATCAGACAGGGATGTTTAAGTCTGCAGAGGTTTCTGCTGCCTTTTGCTCAGCTATGCTCTGCCCCCACAGGTGGAATCTATAGAGGCAGCCGGCCTTGCTGAGCTGTGGTGGGCTCCACCCAGTTCAAGCTTCCAGGCCGCTTTGTTTACCTACTCAAGCCTCAGCAATGGCGGATGGCCCTCCCCCTGCCAGGCTGCTGCCTCACAGGTCGATCTCAGACTGCTGTGCTAGCAGTGAGTGAGGCTCCGTGGGCGTGGGACCCACCGAGCTAGGTGCGGGATATAATCTTCTGGTATGCCATTTGATAAGACCATTGGAAAAGCTCAGTATTATGGCAGAAGTGTCCCATTTTTCCAGGTACAGTCTGTCATGGCTTCCCTTGGCTAGGAAAGGGAAATTCCCCGACCCCTTGCGCTTCCTGGGTGAGGCGACGCCCACCCTGCTTCAGCTTGCCCTCCGTGGTCTGCACCCACTGTCCAACCAGTCCCAGTGAGATGAACCAGGTACCTCAGTTGGAAATGTAAAAATCACCCATCTTCTGCATCGATCCCGCTGGGAGCTGCAGACTGCAGCTCTTCCTGTTTGGCCATCTTGCCTAATTCACATACATTTTTCTTAGGCCTGCCCAGTGGCTAAAGAAAAATAAATGAACATAGCATTTTAAAAATTGAGTGTTTTATTATAAAAATCTATATTTCAGCATTCTCTAGCAAAGTCATACTATTTGGTACCACTAGGCCCACATCCCTGCATGGCAGCCATCAGTTGCTGCAAAATTCACCCCTTTCTCTTTAGAGACAGAATGTGCTGTCTGGGTCAGCACAGCCTCCACCACCCTGTCCCATTTCCCCAGCACCAAGTCCACTTATCTAGTTGTCTGATTGGCCTGTAATCTACTTGAAGTGCAGTGGTATAACCCAACTCAAATTAGTTAAACAAAATAGGTAATTTATTGATAACTTATCACAGGTGCACTGTTGCCTTCTCTTACCCTTAGCATTTGTTTTAACTTCTGAATCACTGGATCTAATAATCTTGGCCTCAACTCAAACTATTTTGTGTAATTTGTTTTGAAGTCACTAATCTCATGGGATCTTAATTTCCTAATGTTTATATGTCAGAGTTGAACTACATCAAAAAATGTTAAGAATCCACTATATTTTGCTACATACTTAAATTCTATTTTCATCATTAAATACTTCCTAGGTTTGTTTGTTTGTTTGTTTTTGAGACAGTGTCTCACTTTGTCACCCAGGCTGGAGCACAGTGGCATAAACACGGCTTACTGCAGCCTCAATATCCCGGGCTCAAGCTGTCCTCCCACCTCAGCTCCCCACATAGCTGGGACTACAGGCACATGCCAGTGCACCCAGCTAATTTTTGTATTTTTTGTAGAGACAGAGTTTCGCCATGTTGTCCAGGCTGTTTTCAAACCCCTGAGCTCAAGCAGTCCACCCACCTCAGCTTCCCAAAGTGCTGGGATTAGAGGCATGAGCCACTGTGCCCAGCCTCTTCCTAGCTTTTTAAATACACTGAACACAATTTAACCTTCTCAGTGTCTCCAGTTTAAGTACATCATTTACTGGGCTGCTTATATTCCACTGTGGCCTTCAATGGTTGTTAAGTCCTGTGAATGAAACAGCATGACACTGCCATGTGTTTCTTGAATTATTTTGTCTACTTTATATATCTATATCTATATAGTTTATGCCATAAATACATAAATATGTTCCCCTTCCCTACCATCTATTGCCCATGTATCTGTCTTTAGCAATTGATTTATACCACTTTATGATTTGCTGCTTCTGCTCTGCTTTGAGTTAGTACAGCAGATATTCCATATATAATAACCTTCTGTACATAAGCTAGGACATCTGCTTTGGATGATCCAGAGGTCAGATTGATTGTGTGGTAGTTCTTGGCTGAGCTCTGGATTCTTGGAGGTGCTACAGCTTACTCAGGAGGGAAATAAGAGGATGAAAACCAAAAAAAGCAGTAATTATCTTCCAAAAACATTTTCTTTCTTGCTCAAATCAAATTCACATTGTCATCTTAATGTTCCTAGAGCTGAGAGGATGTATGAATAGTTGGAGTTGAGCTATCAATAAAACTTGGAAATTAACAGCCAGTGCCTGGCTTACGTGAGCATTAGGTCTGGAAACCCCTAAATGAGTCTAATCACTATAAATTGCTCATCCATTAAGCATGTCTGGTTGAAGCCATGGAGAAAGAATGAGGAAGTGATGCTTGCAAGCTAATGCTCCCACTTGTCTTTTCTGTTCCTACCAAACTACTCTATGGTCCAGTGTGTCTCACATGTTTGTGCATCATGGACATTTCACACAGGTCCATAAGGAGCCTTATATCACTCGAGGCTTATGTGAGTTGGGAATGGGCTGTAGATGAGATAAATTGAACTGCAGATGATCTGATTAATAGAAATACATTAAATGTTTATTTACCATTTTTAAAATGTTTTCCTTATAAAGGTTAGAAAACGAAAAGCTGCTTGAGAGCAAAGCCTGCCTACAGGATTCCTATGACAACTTACAAGAAATAATGAAATTTGAGATTGACCAACTTTCAAGAAACCTCCAAAACTTCAAAAAAGAAAATGAAACTCTGAAATCTGATCTGAATGTATGTTAAGAAGGGTGAATTTGTCCCGCATCTGTGACTGTCCTTTTGAGTGTAGGACAAGGACTGTCCTTTCCTCCTTCTTTGCTATACTTGCCCACAGTGCCTGCCACATAGAAGGTACTTGACATGTTCGTTGACTATGCATTGCTAGTAACAGTTACTTAAAATCTAATGTTGTCTTTTAGAATTTGATGGAGCTTCTTGAGGCAGAAAAAGAACGCAATAACAAATTATCATTACAGTTTGAAGAAGATAAAGAAAACAGTTCTAAGTGAGTGCTATTTATTTTTTCTACTAGCATACTAGAATATTGTTTAATACCACATTCTTAATCTTGTTTTTTTTTTATTGCCAATACCCTGTAAAGAGTTATTTTTTTAAAGCATTCCAAAAGCAACAGCAGGTTCTTTTGTATAAATGGCTATGTGGAGAAACTTAATTTTTCAAAACATGTAACAACTAGCTATAGTACTTTTAAATGAATAGCAATTGGTGGTAATCAGAACTCAGGGCCTTCTGTAAATAAATCACAGCAAATATATAATAAGATGACTTCTAACTCTTCCTTTTATTATTGGAAGGAGGAGACAGATTTTTATTTCTGTGTCTACAAATCTTTTTCTACCAGGAATGTCCCCTAACAGGAATGCTGCCATATTTCTTCCCTCTTTCCAGGTTCCTCTCCTTAGTAGTCTCAGTGAATCTTTGGGCCTCGGTCACTAGGCTGAGAGTCACTCTAATGAGAAGAATTTGTTTATTCAGTAGGTACTTATGGAGTTCTTCCTATGAGGTCGCTTTTCTTCTAGGCCCTGGTATACAGTGGTGAACGTAGAGCTTACATCCAGTTGAGAGACAAGCAATTGACATTTACTCATTTATTCAAACATTTATTGATATCCAACAAGCCAGGCACTGATCTGGTGAATTCCAGAACATTTAGAGTTGAAACAGTGAACAAAACATCCCTGTCCTCGTGGATTTTAACTTCTAGCACAGGGAGACAGGTAATAAACAAATACTATATGATATATGTTATATTTAGGAGTACTAAACACTCTGAGGAAAAACAGTCATGGCACAAAAATGGGTTCTCATTGAATAATTTTTGAAGAAATGGGTTCAAATTTCTGATCCCCCCGGAAGGTAATGCCTGACACCAAGGGTGTGCCTAACAAAGTTCATTTGCACTTAATCTATTCTGTACTAACAGATTCAGTTCCTGTTTTCATTGAGTGAAGTCAGGGGTAAAAGATAATTATTCTCTTCCAGAGAAATCTTAAAAGTTCTTGAGGCTGTACGTCAGGAGAAACAGAAAGAGACGGCCAAGTGTGAGCAGCAGGTAAAATTCCTGTTACTCTAACTCTAGTATTTGAAGTTTATAACTTTTATTCCTGATACCTAAAAGGCTTATTATAATGATTTCAGCTTGCAGATGTTGGAAATTAGTAAGAAAGAAATGGAATTTGGGGCTGGTTCTATTATTTTTAATTTTATTTTTTTCTTCTTTTTTTAAGATAGTTTCTCACTCTGTCACCCAGGCTGCAGTGCAGTGGCGCAGTGATGGCTCACTGTAGCCTTGACTTCCCAAGCTCAGGTGATTTTCCCACCTCAGCCTCTCGAGTAGCTGGGACTATGGGCATGCACCACTATGCCTGGCTAAATTTTTGTATTTTTTATAGAGATGGGGTTTCACCATGTTGCCCAGGATCGAACTCCTGAGCTCAAGTGATCCACCCACCTTGGCCTCCCAAAGTGCTGAGATTACAGGCCTGAGCCACCGTGCCTGGCCTATTGTTTTTCGACTCTTGTTTTTCTAACTCCCAGAGGGTTACAATAATAATTTGTTGGTAGTCTCCTGGTAGACAGCACAAAATCACTGTCTTTCAACCCAATTTATCATTTTCAAGTATTACTCCTAGCATAGACTCTATAATATGAAAAGCTGCTTTCAACTTGTTTATCTGTGTGTATGGTTAACTTTGCGATTTAATTATTCTTCTAAAAATATTTCTTTTTCACCATAGATGGCAAAAGTACAGAAACTAGAAGAGAGCTTGCTTGCTACTGAAAAAGTGATCAGTTCCCTGGAAAAGTCTAGAGATTCTGATAAGGTTGGTAGAGTTTGAAGCTACATCTCTCTGTGCATTTTCTTATAAATGCTAGTTTAACATTTTGTTCTCCTACCTCTTCTTGCACCTCCAGGGTGACCAATAGATAATATGAATATTTCTATATGCAGTTAAGCCTTGTTCATCCTCCAAGGTTCCTAGAGAATGAGGTCTTCCACTTAATTTGCCATGTAACTTCAAGTACAAACTACTGTCACTTTGGATGGCAGTGTTTCTAAAACGCATCCTACCCTTTTAACTAGGATGCTGATATTAGTGTGACCCTTTCTTGTTGACTCTAAGTCCCATGATACAAATTTTCAAATTCCTGGTGTTGACTTTAACTAAAATAATAAAAATAGTCTGTATGTCCAAGTTTAAATTACGTATAAAATTCTTCTATGTCTAGCTCATATACATTCATAAAACCAAAACAAATGATTAAATGAAATATTATAGACTGGGCACAGTGGCTCACGCCTGTAATTCCAGCACTTTGGGAGGCCAAGGCAGGTGGATCACCTGATGTGAGGAGTTCGAGACCAGCCTGACCAACATGGAGAAACCCCATCTCTACTAAAAGTACAAAATTAGCCAGGTGTGGTGGCACATGCCTGTAATCCTAGCTACTCGGGAGGCTGAGGCAGGAGAATTGCTTGAACCTGGGAGGTGGAGGTTGCAGTGAGCCAAGATCACACCATTGCACTCCAGTGTGGGCAACAAGAGCGAAACTCTGTCTCAAAAAAAAAAATTATAAAGCCATTAAAATATAAATTGATGCCAGGCGCAGTGGCTCATGTCTGTAATCCCAGCACTTTGGGAGGCTGAGGCGGGTGGATCACGAGGTCAGAAGATCGAGACCATCCTGGCTAACATGGTGAAACCCCATCTCTACTAAAAATACAAAAAATTAGCTGGGCATGGTGGCAGGTGCCTGTAGTCCCAGCTACTCGAGAGGCTGAGGCAGGAGAATGGCGTGAACCCGGGAGGCGGAGCTTGCAGTGAGCCGAGATCGCGCCACTGCACTCCAGCCTGGGCAACACAGCGAGACTCCATCTCAAAAAATATATATATATATGTGTGTGTGTGTGTGTGTGTGTGTATGTATATATATTACATATGTATATATAATATATATGTATATATTATATACGCATATATAATATATATGTATATAATATGTGTATATAATATATGCATATATAATATACGCATATATATTATATGTATATAATATGTATATATTATATATGTATATATTATATATGTATATATTATATATGTATATATTATATATTATATATGCATATATATTATATATGTATATACATTATATATGTATATATTATATATGTATATATTATGTATATATAATATATGTATATATATTATAGATGTATATATATTATAGATGTATATATATTATAGATGTATATATTATATATGTATATATTATAGATGTATATATATTATAGATGTATATATATAATATATGCATATATAATATATGTATATATATTATATATATAAATTGATACTAATGTGACATACGATCTTTTACTAAAATAAAATTGACTTATATTGCCATTAGGAAAGATAAGTGATTTACCATTTAAAAATTTTCTTCTCCTTAATGTCATTGGGTATGAAGATATTATTTCTGTCCTCATCAGAAAGTTGTAGCTGACCTCATGAACCAGATCCAGGAGCTAAGAACATCGGTCTGTGAGAAAACAGAAACTATAGACACCCTGAAACAAGAACTGAAGGACATAAATGTAAGTTCGGTCACCAACAAGATGTTAAATTTGAGCATGGGACACTTCACAGACTTTTCAAGAGTTTAACAGATGCTCCACCAGAAAAAAGATTCTGTGGTCAAATAAGTTTGGAAATTCTAGTTAAATAAAGCTCAACAGGTTTGTGTGTTTGTAGGACTTGCAGAGTCATTATGGAAGTGTGTAGTATGTATCTCTGGGGGACAATGTAGGCTGCAGTGTTTCTCAGGTTTCACTGATCTGGGACAATGTTCTCTGTGCACTGTTTGGGAATGCCGGTATAAACTGAATAAGAAACAGGCTGGTTGCTGGCCGTAACAGTTAAGGCAAATGTGGTGTTTTTTAGTGGCTTTGAGGAAAAAGTAACACAGTAGCACATTGCAGTTAAGTTCAGAGACATTAATTAGAAAGTGAGTTCGTTTCCGCAATATTGGACATAATATCATTTCCTAAAGTTAACTACTTATTTTGTCAGCATGTATCTGAGTTCAGTGTTGATGCTTTTCTCCTCTGGGTCGAGGCGAAGGCTTTTGTCACTCCTCCTCACTCCTCTGCTCTACAGGGAGCTTGCTGCACTCCATGTTTATTTCTGAAGGCAGTAGATGACAAACCCTGTGTTTTTTTCACTGATACTTAGAGGACTTTTCCATTTCTCTTCACCATTCATGCACTTATTCTTCTATTCCTTCAGTCAGCAAGTATTTATTGAATTATCTTGTGTTAATCTTGTCATCACCTTGGAACCCAGACTCATTCTTGTTATTTTAATCTAGAAACAGGAAATAAAATGGCTCTTATAGCATGACTTTCTTTTCTACAGTGCAAATACAACTCTGCTTTGGTTGACAGAGAAGAGAGCAGAGTGTTGATCAAGAAGCAGGAAGTGGATATTCTGGATCTGAAAGAAACCCTTAGGCTGAGAATACTTTCTGAGGACATAGAGGTAGGTATTAACGCATCACAGCTTCTTTGTTTGCCTTATTACTTGTCAATATGTGTATTTGTGTGTGGAAGTTATTAATGAATAAATACAGGATTTTTAAAGAAATAATTCTTATACAGCTGATGTGCCTCAAGACGCTTCACTACACAGGCTCATTCTACCTCTACCTCACTGCCTGCACCTCATGCTGCCACCCTGACTGCTTGCTGTGCCTGAGATACTCCACACACGTTCACGCTGCCAAGCTTCCTCCTCTGGCAGTCTTATACATATACTGTCTCCTTTGAGGAGATAGTATTTGTATACTACTAATGTATTATTGTATAGTGTATAATAATACAAATAGTCATGTATAATAATTTCACCAAAATTATTATATTTTATCTAGCTAATCTATTTTCCGTCATTTTTGCTGACACCACGTTAACTTCCTATAACTGACCCCTGTAAGGGGAGCAGAGTGGAAACTGCATTTAATTGGATGCAGTGATAGTAGCAGATAGCAGAAAAGGGCTGTTTAAACAGGCTGATTTCAGGGTTGTCTTTTGCATTTTAGCGAAGATAAGTTTTATTTTTGTTTTTTTGATGTAGATTTATCTTTTTAAAAATTAAGCAGTACAGGTTAATTTGTAACCTACAGCTAAAGGAAGTTTTTTTGTTGTTGATGATGTGAACTTATCTTTTTAAAAATTAGTATATAAGCTAGGAGCAATATGGATTTTCTTCCAGCCCTTCCTATTCCTCAGCTACCCCCATGTTTTCAGTTTCTTGTGTAACTTTCAAGAGATATTTTAAGCAATCCTATATACTTTTAGCCTTACTTTTTTCCCCACACAGATGATAACCTATTGTATAAATTGTTCTATATTTGCTTTAGAAATAAAGGGGTTTTGGCTAACCTATGCTACCCATGAAACAAATTCAACAAATATTGAATCCACCTACTATACAACCTGTACCCGGCCTGGCATTTGGGAATGGAAAGATGATTGAAAAACACTGTTACTTACATCAAAGCATGCATTCTAGCTTAAGAGATATGTGTAATATGATGTAATAACCTGGGGGCACAGAAAAGGGAGGGAGGGGAGTAATTCTGCCAGGGGAAATTCTAAAGACCTCCTCAGAAGAGAGAGTATTTGTACACAACTTTGCCAGAGAGGGAAGCTTGGCAGTGTGAACATGTGTGGAGTGTCCCAAGCACAGCAGGCAGTCAGGGTGGCCAATACAAGGTGCTGGCAGTGAAGTGGGGGCAGACTGAGCCTGTGTAGTGAAGTGTCTTGAGGAACGTCAGCTGTATCTTTTAGGAAACCAAAACTGCATAGACATTGAACCCAGGCAGAAGGTCATGAAGTCAGAGCTAAGAAATGCTAGTGGGGATAGGGGGTGAGATAGAGTTGGGAAATGTTTCAGAGCTACAGGTGACAGTTGTTGGTGTCCAGTTGGATATGTACCATGAAGGGAAGAAGCAGTCAGAGTGGGCACCAAGCTTTCTAGCCTGGAGGACTGAATGGTTCTGTGCACATTTCAGATGGAAAGAATAGAGGCCCACAGAAAGTTAATGAGATGCATTTTATACATACCAGTTTTGAATTTTAAGGACCTGTGGGGTAGATATCCAAGATGGCTATTCCCAGTAATTTGTATTTATATCTTGCTACATCGCAGAAAGGATTTGAAGCTGCTAACACACATAAGATATAAGATTAAAATAGGCTGGACGTGGTAGCTCACACCTGTAATCCCAGCATTTTGGGAGGCCGAGGCGGGTGGATCACTTGAGGTCAGGAGTTCCAGACCAGCCTGGCCAACATGGTAAAACCCCATCCCTACTAAAACTACAAAAATTAGCAAGGTGTGGTGGTGCGTGCCTGTAATCCCAGCTATTCAGGAGGCCAAGGCAGGAAAATGGTTGCAGGAGGCAGAGGTTGCAGCAAGCTGAGATCATGCCACTGCACTCTAGCCTGGGTGACAGATCGAGACTCCATCTCAAAAAAAAAAAAAAAAAAAGAAGATTAAAGTAGACAACAAAAATTAGAATAAAAGGAAAGTAAGGGTAGAATAGTAACAAGTTATTAAGAGCACAGGCTACGGAGTTGGAATTCTAGCTGTGTGACCTTGGGGAAGTTAAATTTCTCCCTGTGCTTCATTTGCCATATCTGTAGAGATAACAGTACTTCCTACTGCATAAGGCAGTGGTCCTCAGCCTTTTTGGCACCAGGGACCAGTTTAGTGGAAGACAATTTTTCCTTAGACCAGGAGTGTGAGGGGGGCTGGTTTCTGGATGATTCAAGCACATTACATTTACTGTGTACTTTATTTCTATTATTATATTTACATTGTAATATATAATAAAATAGTTGTACAACTCACCGTAATGTAGAATCAGTGGGAGCCCTGAGCTTGTTTTCCTGCAACTAGATGGTCCTATCCAGGGGTGATGGGAAATAGTGACAAATCATCAGGCATTAGATTCTCATAAGGAGTGCCCAAACGAGATCCCTGGCACGCAGTTTGCAATAGAGTTAATGCTTCTGTGAGAATCTAATGCTGCCACTGATTTGACAGGAGGCGGAGCTCAGGCAGTAATGCGAGCGATGGGGAATGGCTGTAAATACAGATGAAGCTGTGCTCGCTTTCCTCCTGCTGTGCAGCCCAGTTCCTAACAAGCCACAGACTGATAGCAGTCTGTGGCCTAGGGGCTGGGGGCCGCTGGCATAAGGTGTTGCAGAGATGAACTGAGGTAATACATGGAAAGTGCTGAGAACTGTGTCTGGCTCCTTGTAACTGCTCAATATGTGTCAGATGGAAATAGTTTTAGCAAGCCAATTGAAAAGTTAGTACACAGAAGCCACAACCTAGGGTCCCCTACAAAGTATAAGATGATGGGCTAAAAATTCAGTTTCATACTGACTATTGACGAAGTTAAAAGGAAATCTAGCTATTTGAGTGGGAGTAGGTAAATAATGAAAACTCATGCCTGTTTACCTAAAAGCTCTTCTTTCCTTCCTTCCTTGCTTTCTCTCTTTTTTCTTCTTAAAAATAAAATGTGACTACGAATATTGTATTTAGATTTAAATATCGTATTTTAGATTCATACATTTTAGATTCAAGTGGAATTGACCCTATAAACAGCTAATTCATATTCCCTTTGTACTTATCTTCAGTCTTTATTAGCTAAAATTTAGTTTTATGGCTATGGTTTGTGAATTGTTCAGTATATTCAAATTGTTCATATATCAGTGTTTTTCAACAATATGAGTACTTAGCCAATGCAGTAAAATGGAAATACTAAGTGGGATACAAATATCATAAAAACTGAGAGAAAGTGACTGTTATTTGCAGATGGTCATGAGTGTCTACATGGAGACTCCAAAATACTGTCTGAATATCTATTAGAATATTGAGTTTAGTAATCAGTTATAAATTAGTCTTAAAAATAATATTTACTATGTGCCATTAATAACCATTTAACAATATTGGAACTAAAAAATTCTATTCACAAAAACAACCAAAAGTGTTAAAACGTTAGGAGAGAATTTGTAACAACTGTTAAGGACATAAAACTTCCCTAAGGGATATTGAAAGAAATTGAATATTAAAGAAAGAATAGCTTTACTGGGGCTGGGCACTGTGGCTCACGCCTGTAATCTCAGCACTTTTTGGGAGGCTGAGGTAGGTGGATCACAAGGTCAGGAGATCGAGACCATCCTGGTTAACACGGTGAAACCCCGTCTCTACTAAAAATACAAAAAAAAAAAAAAATTACCTGGGCGTGGTGGCACGTGCCTATAGTCCCAGCTACTTGGGAAGCTGAGGTAGGAGAATCGCTGGAACCTAGGAGGCAGAGGTTGCAGTGAGCCAAGATCGCGCCACTGCACTCCAGCTAGGGCGACAGAGCGATACTCCATCTCAAAAAATAATAATAAAGAATAGCTTTATTATAGATTATTATATAATATTATGTTATAATTAAAATAATATATAATATTAAATAAACAGTTTAAAAACATAACAGGAGCTTTTAAAAATTCTCTTTCACAGAAATAATATAGCGTATCAAAATCTTAGGGTGAATATTTGACAATTGTTAAGAACATAAAACTTTACAAGCAACATGAAAAGAGACTTCAATAAAAGGATCTAAAGGGAGACTTGGACAGGAAGACCCTGTCGTTTTAGAAACAGAAATTTATGTAATTCCACTTCAAATCCCAATGTATTTATTTTTATTTTTTTGAGACAGGGTCTTGTTTTGTTACCCAGGCTGGAATGTAGTAATGCGATCATGGCTCACTGCAGCCTTGAACTCCTGGGCTTAAGTGATCCTGCCACCTCAGCCTCCCAAGTAGCTGGGACTACAGATGTGCAGCACCACGCCTGGCTAATTTTTGGTATTTTTTTGTAGAGATGAGGTTTCACTATGATGCCCACGCTGGTCTCGAACTCCTAAACCCAAGTGATCCTCCCCTGCCTCAGCCTCCCAAATTGCTAGGATTACAGGTGTGAGCCACCATGCCTGGCCTCAAATCCCAGTATAAAAAACTGATGATTTTAAGGTTCCTTTGAAAAAAATACCCAAGATTTACCAACAAAACTTAGAAAAACAATAATGCAGAGAGATTTCTAAGCTAAATGGTAACCATATCCAGTGTTGGACTGATGATAGAGAGATCATTGCAACAACTTTGAACATCCACAAATAGAGAGCAGTGAATATGAAGGAATTTAGTGTAATGGTAAAGGAAGTATTTCTCAACAGTGAAGAAAGAGTCGGTTTAATCAATGTATATGTTGGGAAAATTGTCTGACCAATTTGAAAAGATATCAAAGCCAAAACAATTTTTACATGGATTAGAGTTCTGTACAAATGATGACATCATAGAAGTACTAGAAAATAAAAATACAAGCCAGGCATGGTAATGCACGCCTGTAGTCCCAGCTACTCAGGAGGCTGACATGGGACAATTGCTTGAGTCCAGTAGTTCAAGTCCAGCCTGGGTAATGTTGTTGCAAGAGCCCCCATCTCTGAAAAAACAAAAGGAGGGATGGGCACGGTGACTCACACCTGTAATCCCAGCACTTTGGGAGGCCAAGGCAGGTGGATCACTTGAGGCCAGGAGCTCAAGACCAGCCTGCCCAACATGACGAAACCCCATCTCTACTAAAAATACAAAAATTAGAAAAATTAGCCAGGTGTGGTGGTGTACACCTGTAATCCCAACTACTCAGGAGGCTGAGGCATGAGAATCGCTTGAACCTGGGAGGTGGAGGTTACAGTTAGATGAGATCACGCCACTGCACTCTATCTGGGCGACAGAGCAAGACTCTGTCTAAAAAAATAAATAAATAAATAATTTTTTTTTAAGGAGAAGAAAAAATACAAATACATAAAAATATCTTGAGTTTATGTGACTCTGAAAATATCTTGATATAAAGATTAGAACTCATAAGGGAAGATTATACAATATTAAAAACAAAAATTCTAACAACAGATGGGGAAAATATTTGCAACTGATGACAAAGTATTTTACCACCTTAATTTATCCTTCAGGAGAAGGATAGAAACACAGCTGGTGGAAAATGGACATAGGTAGCTCCCCAAAGAAGGAATATAGTGGCACAAAACTTCTTTGGAATCAGAGACATGCAAATGTTCCTGAAACATTAGGAGTTCAGCCTAGGTCTGGTTGCTTACCACACAGAAAGCCAATCACTGAGTCAAGGAGTATTGCCAGCGAAGAAGACTTTAAATGAGTGCCATAGCCAAGATAGGAGATCAGTCTCAAATCCTTCTCCCTGACTGACTAAAATTGGGAGTTTATATAGCAAGAAAGGTAACCATGTGTGGAAAAGCAGGAACTAGGGAGGGGTAAGGAAAAGGAGTTGGTTAACAGGAAACAGGTTGTCAGTTAGGCAGCCATGACAGGTGAGGGGCCTGGCATCTCATTTGTCCAGTTGCCATGATCTGGTAAGTTTCAGTTCCTTGATCTTGTCTGGGATGCCTGTTGGTTGGTTCCCTGAGAAAGGAACTCAGATAAGACAAATGTAACTTTCTTACGTTTTAAGACTGGGAGGGCCAATTTCTATGTTTATTCAAAAGAAACCATAAACATCAGTTCTAGGGGACAGTTGGGCCAGTTTCACAAATTAAAATAACAGCTATTTTCTAATCTTATAACTGGTAAAGTTTAAGACCCAAGGAAGATGTGCAGACAAGGATGATTACTCAAACTTCTGGAGGAGTTTATGTTCAGCCTTTGGGGAGGTAGTCTGGTAATACATAGCCTTATATTTTTTACATATCCTTTGAGTTTGCACTTTTAAAAATTCAGCCTAAAGAAATAATCTAGATACAAGAATGAAGTGCATAGAATAGTGAAAAATTCAAATCAACCAAAATATTTAGTGATAGATTAAATTGTGGTACATCCATAAGGTGAAATGGAGTCCACACAGTGAAAAGAGTGAGTACATGCAGAAATGTTTGTGATGTGTCAAGTTTTTTTAAAAGTGTGTGTTTATATGTGTGTATATATATCTGTGTATATCCATGTATATGTACATGTCTATGTACACACATATATATGTGTGTGTATATATATATATACATGCACACACATACCTACATACATATATATACATTTGGAAAGGAAAAGAAGGATAAGCAGTATCTGCTCTAATTTGGGAGGAATTACATATACTGTGTACATAGAAATTATGTATGCAACCTATAGGACTTCTAATTTTCTGTGCCAGTTTCCACAAAGCTACTTCCTGAAACTTTGATGGTCTATGACAATGAATCACAATCTGGTGCAAACTGCCCAGGCCCTCCTCAACTGGCTGATGGAGGCTCATCTTCACAGCTGTTTACTTTCCAGTATATAAAGGACTAGAGTCAATTGGTGAGACAACAACAAGTAACCAAGAGACCTTTGAGTCCTCCCCAGGAGAGGGAGATTGGCTTGAGATCCTGGGGGTGAGGAGAGAATGCAATTAGACCTCAAACCTAGAGTACAGTTAAACCTCAATTGGGATACCTATATATGTTTACTGTAATAATGTTAATCTCTAGACCTGTTCATCTAAATATTAACTGATTACTTTGTCTTAGAATGGATTAGCACACAAGCAAAAGAAATAGGTTTTTACATAAAACTTCCTTAGTCTGTTAAAAGTTGTACATAGTAATGATTTGGGAATCCTTATTGGAATACCATAATTAAGAAACTGTGATGATTGTCTCCTAACAGAGGGATATGCTCTGTGAGGACCTGGCTCATGCCACTGAGCAGCTGAACATGCTCACAGAGGCCTCAAAAAAACACTCGGGGCTGCTGCAGTCTGCCCAGGAAGAACTGACCAAGAAGGAAGCCCTGATTCAGGAACTTCAGCACAAGGTGAGAAACACACAGGTGTCACTCAAGATGGGAGACAAGAGACCAAGTGTAGTGGCTCACTCCTGTAATCCCAGCACTTTGAGAGGCCAAGGGGGTGGACCACTTGAAGTCAGGAGTTCAAGAGCAGTCTGGCCAACATGGTGAACTGAAACCCTGTCTCTACTAAAAATAGAAAAGTTAGCCGGGCGTGGTGGCGCTCACCTGTAATCCCAGCTACTTGGGAGGCTGAGGCACAAGAATTGCTTGAACCTGGGAGGTGGAGGTTGCAATGAGCCAAGATTGCACCACTGCACTCCAGCCTGGGTGACAGAGTGAGACCCTGTCTCAAAAAAAAAAAAAAAAAAAATGGGGGACAGGAGGAATCCACAGTTGAGGTTGTCATGACATTCCTGCATTGGCCAACTTCTCCATGTACAAAGGGGAGGCTAATGGAGTATCCTTACCTGGACTGAGACTTGCTCAGCTGCCTCCCACCCACCTTAGGTCCTTGACACATGGCAACCAGTTCTAACCACTCCAGTGAGGTTATGCCTGACTTTTATCATATTTTTGGTGGTTGTTGTTGTCATTTTATATTTTGTATTTTTCTCAGATGACTGTTTTGTTACTTGTGAAACTTGGAACATTTTTATAAGTATAAATAAATTTGTGAGAGAAAAGGAGATGGGTCCAGGTGCGGTGGCTCACACCTGTAATCCCAGCACTTTGGGAGGCCAAGGTGGGTGGATCACGAGGTCAGGAGATCAAGACCATCCTGGCTTACACGGTGAACCCCCGTCTCTACTGAAAGCACAAAAAAAATTAGCCGGGCGTGGTGGCCGGCTCCGGTAGTCCCAGCTACTCGGGAAGGCTGAGGCAGGAGAATGGTGTGAACCCGGGAGGCGGAGCTTGCAGTGAGCCGAGATCGCGCCACTGCACTCCAGCCTGGGCGACAGAGAGAGACTCCATCTCAAAAAAAAAAGAAAAGAAAAGGAGATGATGATTGGGTTATAGTAGCAACCAAGTTAGATTTCACAATTACTTTTAAAAATATCATAGGTTTATTTTAATATCTTACTGCTTTTCAAATTATTAATCAAGTTCTGAAAAAATAATGTAAATACAGCATATTTCCATATGCCATGGGAAGAAACCGCAATTACTTTTGCATCAACCTAATAACTGTAATCACCATGCCCTGCAGTAGATCTCCAAAAGGTATTCCTCCTGTCCAACTGAAACTATACCCTTTGACCAACATCTCCCATTGCTGATTCATGTCTCCTTCCACCCCTCACTTCCCCCAGACTCTGGTACTCTCCATTTCTATGAGTTCAACTTTTTTTGATTCCACATATAAGTGAGATTGTGTGGTATTTGTCTTTCTGTGCTGGCTTATTTTACTTGGAACAGTGTCCTCCAGGTTCATCCATGTTGTCACAAATGACAGAATTTGCTTCCTTTTTAAGACTAAGTAGTATTTCATTGTGTATATATATAGCACATTTTCTTTACCCATTCTCCCATCAATAGACAGTTAAGTTGACTCCATAGCTTGGCTATTACGAATAATGCTTCAGAGAACATGGGAGTGCCGCTGTCTCTTCAATAGACTGATTTTAATTCCTTTGGATATATATCCAGAGGTGGGACTGCTGGATCATACAGTAGTTCTGTTTTTAGTTTGTTGAGGAACTTCCATACTATTTTTCACAATGGCTGTGCTAATTTACATTCCCAACAGTATACAAGGATCCCTTTTCTCCACAACCTCACCAACACTTAACTTTCATCTTTTTGATGATAGCCATCCCTATCAGGTGCGAAGTGATATCTCATTGTGGTTTTCATTTGCATTTCCCTGATGATTGGTGATGGGAAGTTTGTCTTTTCTATTTGGACCATGTACCCCATATTACTAAGTTGTAACCTTGTATCTGTTCAATTTTCCCAGCTAAACCAAAAGAAAGAGGAAGTAGAACAGAAGAAGAATGAATATAACTTCAAAATGAGGCAACTAGAACATGTGATGGATTCTGCTGCTGAGGATCCCCAGGTACTTTTCAGAAAAAGATTATTTCAGGAGGAAGAAACAGTTTTGTAAATGATAAAAATTTGGAAATTAGGAAGAACATACCTTTGTCTTTTTAAAGAAAAAGATTTTCACTAATACCCTCTGTCTGCTTTTTACTTGATGAAAGTAGCAGTCTTTTATTTCCTTGGAAAAGAATTAGAATAATAAGCTAAGCAGCGGATTTTTTTTTTTTTTTTTTTTTTTTTTTTTGGCAGATGGAGTCTTGCTCTGTCACCCAGGCTGGAGTGCAGTGGCATGATCTCGGCTCACTGCAGCCTCCGTCTCCCAGGTTCAAGCAATTCTCCTGCCTCAGCTTCCCAAGTAGCTGGGACTACAGGTGCACACTGCCACGCCTGGCTAATTTTTTTTTCTGTATTTTAGTAGCGACAGGGTTTCACTGTGTTGCCTAGGCTGGTCTTGAACTTCTGAGCTTAGGCAGTCCGCCCACCTCGGCCTCCCAAAGTGCTAGGATTACAGGTGTGAGCCACCATGCCCAGCCGTAGCTAGAATATTTTTTATGTACTTGACATTTACGTTTAAAAGAAATCTTTATAATATCACTTAATTGGATATTTGGATGAGATGTGATTTTATTTTAGAGTCCTAAGACACCACCTCACTTTCAAACACATTTGGCAAAACTCCTGGAAACACAAGAACAAGAGATAGAAGATGGAAGAGCCTCTAAGACTTCTTTGGAACACCTTGTAACAAAGCTAAATGAAGACAGAGAAGTCAAAAATGCTGAAATCCTCAGAATGAAGGTAATTGGATTTTTTTTCCAGTAAATTTAATTATTTTTAAAGAGACCAAGTCTCGCTATGTTGCCCAGGCTGGGCTCAAGTGATCCATTTGCCTCAGCCACCCAGTATCTGGCACTATAGGTATATGCCACCATGCCCAGCCAGTAAATTTAATTTTTTTTTTTTTGTTTTTTTTTTGAGACGGAGTCTGCCTCTGTCGCCCAGGGTGGAGTGCAGTGGTGTGATCTTGGCTCACTGCAAGCTCCGCCTCCCAGGTTCACAGCGTTCTCCTGCCTCAGCCTCCCGAGTAGCTGGGACTACAGGCGCCCGCCACCACACTCGGCTAATTTTTTGTATTTTCTAGTAGAGACGGAGTTTCACTGTGTTAGCCAGGATGGTCTTGATCTCCTGACCTCATGATCCGCCTACCTCAGCCTCCCAAAGTGCTGGGATTACAGGTGTGAGCCACCGCGCCTGGCCAATTTAATTTTTTAAACTAAGCAGCATCCTCATGGTTACTGAGGATACAAAATTCAAAAAGCACAGAACTGAAAGGTAGACAGAGAAAAGTATTCCTTCTACCCCTGATACTAATCCACCTACTTTGCTGTCCCTGGAGGCTTCCAGGGTAGCCCCTTTCTTTTAGAGCTTTTTAATGCATACATAACCACATCGCTAAGCATTCTCTCCTGCCCCATTTGGTTTTTACACAATGGTGTCATATACAGGTTGCGCCAGCTATGCTCTCATCAGGAATGAAGGTGAGAGCATGTTTCCTTAAACCTCACCTCATGGTGCTATCTGAATTTCGGATCTTTGTCCGTTTAATAGCTAAAGTATTAAATGATGTAGTTTTACATTTATATTTTTCTTAAGAGTAAAATTGAGCATCTTGTTTTTCTGTTTCTGTGAACAATATCCATTACCCATTTTTCTATCACTGGACTTTTTCTTATTGATTCATAGGCATTTTTATATATTAGAGATTTTTTTAGTCTCTGATAAATTTAAAATACTTTCTTGTTTTCCATTTTTTTAAGCTTCCTCATAGTGTTTTTACCCAGTTACTTGATGGTATGTTGTCTGAGTAGTGGGGTGTGCACATGGCTCAGGGGTGGGGCACATGGAAGAGTGTCTGGGTAGGTGTGTAGGTGCATGGGGAAGGATGTGATGCTCCACAGAAGATAGCATTTATCCTGTGAGGTCATTGCTCTGCAGGGAGTTTTTGTTTAGGAACACAAATTGTTCACTTTAACCAAGGGATGTATATAAAGACAGCACTTATCTTGAGTTTTGTTATTCATGGAGAAGATTATTCCCAATCTTTTTATTTAGGGCAGTTCTCAGTATGCTATCTCAGGAATGTGGCTGTTATCCAGATTGCCATGATCTTGAAACTTAGAAGAAACTGGGTCAGGTGAAACGAAATCAGATAATAGGCAAGTAAATCCAAAAGGATATTCCTTGCAGACAAGTATTTATTTCTTCCAGATAGCTATGCTCATGATTTTCAAGTTAGGATGCAATTGAGTATTTTGAGGGATGAGCTGTGACGTCAATTTTTTGTTTTAATTAGAATCTACGTAATAAATAGAATCGAATAGTTGAGAACATTTTTCAATATAGAGATTTTTGTCATCTTTATTCACAAAGGAATTTTAATTTTTAATGAATTCTGTGATATTGATTTTAAAAATCTGTGTTCAAGACACTGTGGATGTGATCATGAATCACCATTCTAGGCCTCCAATAGCTTGTCACAGTCTGCTTTTCATGCAGCAATACCCAGTGCAGTGTCTCTGCATAGGAACTTAAAAGAGGAATACCTGTCTCAGTGGTGGCCTTGGGGAGCTAAATGAAGCCTACTGTAATGTGTTTTTTGAAAAGATACGATTTGATGTTATTAGGAGCAGTTGCGTGAAATGGAAAACCTACGCCTGGAAAGTCAGCAGTTAATAGAGAAAAACTGGCTCCTGCAAGGTCAGCTGGATGATATTAAAAGACAAAAGGAAAACAGGTGAGAAAGAACCACGAGAACTCTATGGGCTAAATCTTGGCCTGCCTGTGTGGAGTTAAATGAGGTTGGAATTGGTTTCACAGGTTTCCCAAGGTGTACAATGTTTCCCACTAATCCAGGAGATGGTCTTTTGGTTGATTTTGAATCAAGTCTGATCTGTTCACCTTTGCATTGCTCTGCAGTGCGTTTTTGGCATTGTTGCATTTGTTTTAAAGTGATTGAAATGAATTTAAAACATGTGAGATACTTAAAACAAATTACTTATATTTAAAAAAATTTTTTTAAGGTATATATAATATCGACAAGGTTCAAGAAGCCTTGCAGAGAAAGGGAGAATTCCCTACTAGTTGGCTTTGCTTCGTAACTCATGGTCCAGGGAAAGCCCCTGGGCAGGACAAGAAGGATATCCTTAGCATTTTACAGAGGAGCATTCACTTGGATTTAGACATCTCTCTGAGTGTGTTTTGGCTTCAGGTAAGGCAGTTTTGTAGTTGCATTTGCCGATACATTTGCATAGTGTCGGGGCAGCCATATCCAGACTTATATCTTGTCTTTGACTTAAAAGTCATACGATTTTCAACATATTTTTTACCCTTTTAGTACTTCACTTTCCTTAACAATAAAATGAAGAAAATGTTCATTTTCTCACAAGGAGTTTTAAAGATTAAAAATTACATGTATAAAGTGCCAGTTACAGTGTTTGGTAGCAGGTGTCAGTCAATGAAAAGTAGTTATTAAGTACACAAGGTAGAATTATGATTCTGCCTATTGTAACTTTCTGAGTGAGAGTTTGGAGATGATAGTGGCCTGTAAAATTATGCAAGAAGTCGAATTGAATCAAAGTGGGATCTCCGAGATAGAAGCCCTTACCGAATTCCACTGACTGCTGTCCATGCTGTTGCCACAACATCTTTGACAGAGAAGCTTGTGCACTCCTGCAGCTCCCTGGCCCTGTCCAGAAACACCCCTGATATGAGTTGTTCAAAACCTAAATGAGGCAGGAGAGATTTGAGGATGGTAATGGTGGCTATGCTAAAATCTCTTCTTAAATGATTCTCTTCAAATTTTAGTGAGCATCAGAGATCTTATTCAGTAGGGCTGGAGCGAAGCCCAGAATTCTGCATTTTAAAAAAGCACGTGCCTCCCTTTGTAGGTGATTCTGATGTAGGTAGTCCACAGTCTGCTCACCTAGTTTTCATATGCTCCATATATGTCCAATTCTATTAAAGAAAAGCCTTATATTTAGTATACTGTCTTTTGTCAAGAGCTACTGTGAACATAGAACATTTCCGGATCATTTGTAAAATGAAAATTTAAAATACCGTATTTCAGAGATACGTCATAAGCTTACTACTTTTGCCCATGGATGCCACTAAGGATGCATCGTTCAAGTCTTTCTTCCCACTACCAACATATCTAAGTCAGAGTCTCTTAAATAGCCCGAATAGCTACAGAAGCTCTTCATCAGACGATTGAGCTTTGAAACAACCAATAAGAGTCTGGGGAGCCATTCTGAGTAGTGAGGAAAGCTCATGGATTATATAGCAATGAGAGACCCAAACACCAAGCATTCCAGGGCCTTTGGTTTTTCACAGATGGCACTGTGGAGGAGATGGATGCAGCCGTAAATCAAGGCGACACAAGGCAGATGAAAGAGTTGTGAAACCAAAGAGGGATGTCAAGAAAAGATTCTCAAAGACCAGGTGCCTGGTTAACTGTAAAAAAGATCTTTGTTGGTGGCATCACAGAAGACACTGAAGAACATCACCTAAGAGATTATTGTGAAGGTATGAGAAAATAGGAGTGGTTGAAATCATGACTGAGTGAGGCAATGGCAAAAAGAAGAGCTTTACTTTTTTAACCTTTGAGGACAGCCATGACTCTGCGAATAAGATTGTCTCTCAGAAATACCGTAAAGTACATAGCCACTACCATGAAGTATGGAAAACCATGTTGAAGAAAGAAATGGTTAGTACTTCAGCCAGCCAGAGAGGTCAGAGTGGTTCTGGAAACTTTGGTGGTGGTCATGGAGGTGGTTTTGGTGGGAGTAACAACTTTGGTCATCAAGGAAAAATTTCACTGGTAATGGTAGCTTTGGAGGCAGCTGTATTGGTGGATATGGGGGCAGCAGGGATGGCTATAATGGATTTAGTACTTAAATGATGGAAGCAGTTTTGGAGATGGTGGGAACTACAACGATTTTGGTAATTACAACAACCAATCTTCAATCAATTTTGAACCCATGAAGAGAAGAAACTTTGGAGACAGAAACTCTGGCACCTAAAAAAAAAAGAAAGAAAGAAACTCTGGCCCCTGTGGTGGCTGAGGCTACTATGTTGCCAAAACATCAAATCAAGGTGGCTAAGGCATGTGAAAGTTGCCAGTACCAGAATGGAGTCACTTATGTCAAAACCCTAACAAAGTGGAGTCAGGAGGCCCTAAAAAAGTTCTCACCGCACATGCCTATAATATACCTTATCACAAGAAATTCCTGCAGGTCCCACATGCCCCACTTCTGCACTCACCCTGCAACAGAGCTTATCACAGGAATTTTTCAGGCCTGCAGTATTTCAGACAAGCTGCCAGCACCAGGACAGTTACTCAGCAACAGCCATCTCCACCAATGAATAAACGCCAACTCCTGCACTGAGCTTCTGTGACCCGTGAGCTTTATTTCAAGCTTTATTTCATGGATTTCTCTTTGTCTTTAAAAGCTTTCCCTTTCCCCAACTCCCCTGGATACATTAATGGCCCGTCATAGCTTGCATACCCTGCAATTGCAATCCCTCTGCTATTCCTAGATAAACTTGTTTGTTCTAAAGAGCCTGTCTTTCTGAGTTTCTTTTTAGGTTGACAGGCAGTTCCAGTAGCAGCAGTAGTTATGGCAGTGGCAGAAGGTTTTAATTAATGCCAGGAAACAAAGCTTAGCAGGAGAGGAGAGCCAGAGAAGTGACAGGGAAACTACAGGTTACAACAGATTTGTGAACTCAGCCAAGCACAGTTGGTAGCAGGGCCTAGCTGCTACAAAGAAGATATGTTTTAGACAATACTCAGGTGTATGGGTAAAAAACTCAAGGACCGTATTTGTGACTAATTGTATAACAGGTTAGTTTAGTTTCTGTTCTGTGGAAAGTGTAAAGCAGTCTTAACAAAGAGTTTTAATGTGTTTTTTTTTTCCTTTGCACTCATCCTGTTGATTGCCAAATGTCATAGTCTGATCATGATGTTGAATAAATGTCTTTTAAAAGATGTTTTTCACTGGGTGTCGTGGCTCACGCCTGTAATTCCAGCACTTTGAGAGGCCGAGGCAGGCAGATCATTTGAGGTCAGGAGTTTGAGACCAGCCTGACTAACATGGTGAAACCCTGTCTCTACTAAAAATACAAAAAATGAGTCAGGAGTGGTGGCACGCACCTGTAATCCCAGCTACTCAGGAGGCTGAGGCAGGAGAATCGCTTGAACCGGGGAGGTGGAGGTTGTAGTAAGCTGAGATTGCACTGTTGCATTCCAGCCTGGGACAGAGTAGGACTCTGTCTCAAAAAAAAAAAAAAAAAAAAAGTTTTTCATTTCATAGCCTCACATTCCTTATATATAAAAGAGCTACTCAGAACCTTCTTTGTGAAAAATTAGAGAAAGGGCAGACTATAGCTCAGGGGCCTAATTCAGCTCACAACCTGTTTTGTAAATAAAATTTTATTGAGACATAGTCACACCCTGTCATTTTAATATTGTTGTGGCTACTTTTGCACTACAATAGCTAAGTTGAATAGCTGTGGCAGAGACCGCATGGCTCCCAAAGCCTGAAATATTTACTGTCTCGTTCTTGACAGAAGACGTTTGCCAATCCTTGGATTAGTGGACAGAAAACATATCTTTCCCTAATGATTTGGGGTATTTCTTCATTGAGGACTCATTACCATTTTTGTCTGGGCTGCCAGATTTGTTAAGGGAAAGAAACCTCACTGTAGCTTCTGTTTTCCTTCAAGAAATGGTCTTTTACTCACCAGTGAGAGAGATATTCCTAGAGAAGCCTACAACATTCAGGAAGGTTCTCCAAGGAGGGAGGGAGGGATGTCTCTCTGGTCCAGGGGCTGCACACAGAAACTCAACTTATTATCCTCACCTGGTCAGGCTCACAGAGATAGATGTATTATCTAGAATGTAATTTTCTTACTTTATATATTGGAACATTCCTTTTCCATGAAGACATATCTGGTGCTTGGGACATCTGGCCCTGGTGTCCACATACACGGAAAGGCAGAGTGGTTATCAGAAAATGCCAACTGACTATGGAACCTGAGCAAAAGAGAGTCAAGGACTCCACTAGCCTGAGGCCAGAGCGACCCTGCCTACCCAAAATGTGCCCCCTCCCAGCTGATCACATTCATACCAGGCTCTTGGCTCTTTCTTTCAGCCCCCTTTTGTTCACATTCGATCTTCAGATGTTACCACTTTTAACTAAGTTTCTACTGTATTTTACTTTCAACCAATCCTTGATTATATTTCCCACCTCATCTCATCTTGCTTTTGTACTGGGAGGAATCCTGAGTTCTGGGGAAGTGCCTTATTTCATCCCCATGTGTCAATCACATTTATCAACTGTACTGACTTGACCCAATCACAATAGAGTTAGCCTTTCTTTGTACACCTTGGCATTGCTGCATATAATGGATTTGAATTTGAAATTGATACTTGAATATACTTAGCAGTGTTTTCCTATGCCTCCTCCCACCCCTGTTAATCTATGCAGTGATCAGAATCATCCAGATAATCAACAGCTGAAGAATGAACAAGAAGAAAGTATCAAAGAAAGACTTGCAAAAGTAAGATTTTTTTTTATGTAATAGTTTCTTCTTGTCTGAGCAATGCTTTTATAGTTAGTATTTATGGTAGTATATTTTAGAAATCATTTTACTATTGAAATTCCTGTCTTTTCTGCATTTCCACTGTTTAGCATGATATTTACCATTAGTATTTAGACACAGCTGAGAATTAAGAATTTGTCTTCATGCCTACATGGCAAGCCTACTGCTCAGCATGCACACATATAATTCTCCATTTAGAAGCAAGTACCAAGGCCTGTTTGAAGCCTTAGAGGGCATAGTGCATGAAGTCTTGGAAATAGGTACTTACTTTATGTATGTGTAGCTGGCACTGTGGAAAAGGATATTGGTTTGATTTTATTCACATGAAGGAGAATGGGCTGGTTCCTTTCTATCTTTTTTAAGCAATGTTATTTAAGAACCTAAGCAATCTTTTTATTTTCTTTTTTTAATCTTCTTATAGAGTAAAATAGTTGAAGAAATGCTGAAAATGAAAGCAGAGTAAGTGTACTATTTTGTAATTTAAAATCTTGATCATCTTTTCCTTATTCTCCTCTAAAGGAATGATATACCACAAGGTAGGTAACTTCTTTCCTTCTGCAGTAATAAGTGAATTTAATAGATGTTTACAGATTTTTTTTTAAATACCATTTGCTAAAAGGGTTTCTCATGTGAAGCCACTTCAAAAGAAATCTTAAAGAAATAAATAGCAGGAAAAGCCTAGCTTCCCTTGAGGAATCGATGGGGCTTTTCCTCATGGACAATGAGAACAATGTAACTACCAGGTGTCCCTTTTCACTTCTGCTTCTGGTTTCCTCTGATTTAAAACCTGAGGCCCTCTGAGACCCAAAGATCAGTACTCTGATTTCTTCTGGTCTAGCCCTTGGGTCTCTTTATGTTTTCTAAAGCCATGAGTTTAATTTATTCATAAAGTTTTCATATTAATTCATGTAGCCTTATAAATGGCCTCACTCTTTGATGAGCAAGGTGTACTATATTTTCTGTAAAATTCAAACTAAGTAAGCTGGTTGGCATTAACACAAACAAAACAACATTAGAGAGCTATTGGGCTTTTTCTGGGTAGATACTCCTTATTAGGGATAGAGATCTTCAAACATTTTTGCTTATTATACTGATTTAAAGGATTTTGAAACATCATATACCCTCTTGCATATTTTTGAAGTTGACTTTATATCTAAAATTTTTCATTGTAAGTTTAAATTGTTACAAAGAATAGACATTCTGGGATATACAATATAGTGACATTTGAAAATAAAGCTGTTGGCTGGGCCCAGTAGCTCACGCCTGTAATCCCAGCACTTTGGGAGGCCGAGGCAGGTGGATTGCTTGAGTTTAGGAGTTTGAGATCAGTCTGGGCAACATGGTGAAACCCTGTCTCTATTTCTAAAATTTTTTTTAAATAAATTTTTTTAAAAAGAGAAAAGAAAATAAAGCTCTTGCCATTCTTTTAAAAGTATTTAACTAATTTGCTACTTTCTGTTTAAGAAATACATGAACAAATTTCCAAGTCTAAAATTTTACATTTTTCCTTTTTCCTTTGTAATTGAAGTTCCTTTCTACACCCTGCAGGATTTTATATTGATTTAATATATTTTCTGGAAAATTTTTTTATTGATAACCCCATCATACTACTTAACAATAAAATATATGTATGTACATACATACACACACACAAATTGAAAGTAATTTGTAAAAATTTATTTTAATCATATGGCTTTGTTATGTTTATTACCAATTGAGTTCACATTACAATTATTAATCAGTGTGCCTTAAATTTACTGGAAATTTTTATAAGTAATTATTATACTTAGGGAAAATTTTAGTGGAAATGCATCTCTTAATGTATTTTAACCTAATGCTTTTTCTTCAGTCAGCTCATTTTTCTGTTGTACTTCTCAAATGAGACAGGATTCAGCATCAACTCTATTCGTATTTTCTGCTTTTATAGATATAAATGCTGAGAAATCTTGTTCACATAGTTAAGTAAATGGCAATGAAGGAGTTTTGATAGGGTACTGTATTCCAGTTATTTGAACTTTATGCAAGTAAATATGTCAAAAATTACATGGTGATTTACCATCAAAAATTCTTTTTAATGATCAGCTGACAAAGACCACCCAATTTATGAAAGATTTGTTACCCAATCATTGATTCATTTGCTTCATAGAATCAGAGTATACATAGGAAAACAGCCTTTTCACCTGTGTATGAGCCATTCAGAGTCCGGCTCCTAGCTAATTAGTGGTAAAGCTAAGTCAGAAACCCAGATTATTTACAGGATTTTTGAGAATCCAGCTAGTTGGTTGAATTACAGCTATTTTAGAACTAATATCTATTTGAGGTCTTCTAGCAAAAAGAGTAAAAGCTATTTAACTTGGTGTATAGTTTATTTCATAGTCTAGTAACCAAGAGTCTTCATGATATGCTGTCTCTGGAACATACAGCAGGCCAAACTTCACTGCGGGCAAGTGAAGCACACTTCAGCAAACGGCATGCACTGTTTTATCAATCCCAGCCTACAACAGCAATTTTAAACGTTACGTTACCCATATATTTGTGAAGATGCTTTTAAAAGTAATGGGGAACCAATACAAAGCCAACAATGAATTGGGAGAGCATCAGTGCCCTTCTCCCCAGACTGTCCTTCTGAGATCCACAGAATGTAGTCCAAAAACAACTTGCCTAGAAATTAGCTGGCCCTTTGTGTATTAAATTTTATGTATTATATCATCTTAGCAATCAACCGCTAGAAATTAGCTGGCTTTGAGTGGTGTATTAAATTTTGTGTATTATATCATTTCAGTAATCAACAGCTAGAAATTAGCTGGCCTTGAATGGTGTAATAATACATCATTTCAACAGTCAACATTACATTTCATGAGCATTATAAAATAAAAAGCAGGCCTGGCACAGTGGTTCACACCTGTAGTCCCAGGATTTTGGGAGACCAAGGAGAAGAGGATTGCTTGAGGCCATGAGTTTGAGACCAGCCTGGGCAACATAGCAAGACTCCATCTCTACGGATAATTTTTAAAACATTAGCCAAGCACAGTGGTGCATGCTGGTAGTCCTAGATACTCCAAAGGCTGGAGCAGGAAGATTGCTTGAGCCTAGGAGTTGGAGGCTGCAGTGAGCTATGATGGTGCCAGCGTACTCTAGCCTGGGCAGCAGAGTGAGACCCTGTCCCTAAAGGGGGGTGGGGGGTGAAGTAGGCATTTGTTTTGGGAAACTTACAGGATTCAGATCATTTTATAAAGTCAGTGAAATGTACATGAAGTGTATAAATTCTAAACAACTGAAGAAATGAATTGAAAGAAATGACTGGTGTCCCACTGTCTGAGGACCAGTTTTTGAAATCAGAAATGATCAAGATAGGGGATACTGAATAAACCATGCAGATTATAATAATACTTAAATTACATTTGCCCCAAGTGGGCTGAATCTAAACAATTTTATTCTAAATTTTTTTTGTTTAGAAAATGTTTTGAGGAGTTTTCCAAAATGAAAGTCTTGGGTAAAACAAAACCAAAAAAAGCATATCTGGTATGTAGCACTTACTGTCTTCTTTTGCCATCAGCAGAGGAGGGCTAAAGATTAGTAATACTTTCAAATCAAAATTCTGGCCTTGCAGTACACATGTCTAACTTGAGCACTGTTTTATGATTATGTTTCTTTCAAATACTATAAAGTGATAACCTATTCCTACAGCCTAGAAGAAGTCCAAAGTGCCCTTTACAACAAAGAGATGGAATGCCTTAGAATGACTGATGAAGTCGAACGAACCCAAACTTTGGAGTCTAAAGCATTCCAGGAAAAAGAACAACTGAGATCAAAGCTGGAAGAAATGTATGAAGAAAGAGAGAGAACATCCCAGGTGTGCTAGTGTGTTGGTGTTTTCATGAT
Organism: Homo sapiens; assembly: GCF_000001405.40. Taxonomy (NCBI): domain Eukaryota; kingdom Metazoa; phylum Chordata; class Mammalia; order Primates; family Hominidae; genus Homo; species Homo sapiens. The sequence goes on from NW_009646197.1 coordinate 377,332, forward strand.
ACTTAGAACACTCAAATGAATAGAACTAATTAGCGTAAAACTCACTTTGTGATTGGGTGTCCTTAGTTCAGAGTTGCTTTATTGTATGAAGAGTTGTGAGGCCTTGAAAGCTGGGATTCTGGACTCTCTGACTTCCTGTGCTCCTGGAAGGCAAGAAATAATGTGACTTTAAAAGAAAATTAAGACCTACTTCTCATTTTTCCCTCCTTGGATTGATTACCTGCAGGAGATGGAAATGTTAAGGAAGCAGGTGGAGTGTCTTGCTGAGGAAAATGGAAAGTTGGTAGGTCACCAAAATTTGCATCAGAAGATTCAGTACGTAGTGCGACTAAAGAAGGAAAATGTCAGGCTTGCTGAGGTAAACCTAAAAATTATTCTGAATAAATTCTGTCTGGTTTAAAAATGATTATTTTATTGAAACCAAATTAAAACTTAATTATTGAATCAGTTAACTGCTTACTTCAGGGAGCTTCCTGAATTAAAAAAAAAAAAAAAGTTGGTCGTTGCTATTCTGAGCCTAATTCAATCAGTGGCATTTCATAGACAGCAGATTCTTGTTTAACGTTTAGTTTGCACATTGAAAATTCCAGTCTTAATTTGAAATATACACCTAATAAATGCAAAAAAAAACCACTTCCTGTAAGAATTAGAGCCTTATTTTTTTTCTTTTTGTTTTTTTAAAATTACTTAGGAGACAGAAAAGTTGCGTGCCGAAAATGTATTTTTAAAAGAAAAGAAAAGAAGTGAATCTTGAGGATTCCGGTCAGCTACCTAGGCATCACCTTGTTTGAAGATGTTTCTTCTCTTTTACAAGTAAGACCTACTCCTGGCCACTTAGGAGAGCTGAATTTATGGACCTTAATTATTAAATGTTTATAAGGTGGTGGTAACCACCTCAAGTTTCTGATGAACATTCTGCATCCATATACACCCTGTGACAGTCAGCAGTCTGCTATTAAGTGGCCTACTTCAAGGCTTTGAATCAACTTAAGGGAAAACCTTTTGTCTTTGTAAAAATAAAAGCCTGTAGCTAAGGTTTACAGTGGACATTAGCCAGATCATTTTCTTCTTAGATTATGCCATAATCTCCTTTGATTCTTATGGAAGTTCTAACAATATATGGTGGTTCCAACACCTGCAGTGAGTTTAATGACTGACTTAGTAGCAGGTACAAGAAGCAAACTTGTTAATATAGATTATTTTTGTATTCTTACTTTAGGTATTTTCTTGAGCATTTTCCATGACTGTAAATAAAGCCATTTTTTAAGATAATAATTAAAGTGACTTACATTGTTCATTCTGTTGTTCATTGAACACATACTTAATGAACACCTGCAATATGCCAGGCACTAATCATCAGTGAACAAAGCAAATCTTGCCCTCAAGGAACTTCTGTGTATTGGGCCTTCTTTCTTTTTTATTGAGACAAATATTCCATTTTATGGATATGCTACACTGTCCATCCAACAGCTGATGGATACTTGAATTGTTTCCAGTTTAGGACTATTATAAATAATGGAGCTATAAATGTTCATGTGTAAGTCATGGTGTGGACATATATTTCATATCTCTTGAGCACATGCCTAGGAGTAGAATTACTGGGTTATCTGAAAAGCATGTCTTTACTTTTTAAGACATTGCCTGTTTTCCAAATTTACCATTTAGGTATACCATTTTACATTCCTACCAACAGTGTATTCCAATTTCTCCACATTTTCACCAACACTTGTTATTGTCAGGTTTTTTACTGCAGCCATCCTAGGTGTGTAGTTATATCACTTGCATTTTCCTAATTACTAATGCTATTGAACATTTTTCCATATTATGGAATATTACTTGGCAATAAAAAGGGAACATGCTACAACATGATGAATCTCAAAAAAATGCTAAGTAAAAGAAAAACCAAACCCAAAAGACCACATATTATATGTTTTTATTTCTATGGCAGGTCCAGAAAAGGCAAAATTATAGAGATAGAAAGTAAATCATTGGCTGCTTGGAGCTAGGATGGGAGTGGGAATGACTGGGCACACGGGAACTTTTTGAGGTGGTGGAAATGTTTTAAAATTGCTTTGTGATGATGGCTACACAACTCTATGTTTACTAAAAAATGAACTATAGGGCTGGGTGTGGTGGCTCACACCTGTAATCCCAGCACTTTGGGAGGCCAAGGCAGGTGGATCACTTGAGGCCAGGAGTTCAATACCAGCCTGGCCAACATGGCAAAACCCCATCTCTACTAAAAATACAAAAATTAGCTGGGTGTGGTGGCGCATGCCTGTAATCCCAGCTACTCGTGAGGCTGAGGCACAAGAATCGCTTGAACCCGGGAGGCAGAGGTTTCATTGAGCTAAGATTGTACCACTACACTCCAGCCTGGGCAACAGAGTGAAAAAAAAAAAAAAAGGGAACTATACATTCAAAATGGGTGAATTTTAATAAAACTGCAGGAAAAAATTGTAATGCATAGTTGAACTCTCAAGGAATAATAAATAGTAAATCCGTAAGGGCCAAAAATGAAAAAGGAACTTTAATGTAGTATTAAATATAAGGTAGCGAGCAGACACTGCAACTGCCTCAGAGGTAGAAGAAGGTGGAATATTGAAGCTGATAATGAAGAGGCTTGGTTCTGATCACCTGTATCAGCTGTAGAGCTGCTATAACAAATGACTACAAACTGGGTGGCTTAAAACAACAGAAATCTATTTTCTGACAGTTCTGGAGGCGAGCAGTCCAAAATCAAGGTGTGAGTAGGGCCACAGTCTCTCAGAGCCATAGGGGAGAATCTGTTCCATGCCTTTCTCTTAGCTTCTGGTGTTGTCAGGAATCCTTGGTGTTCTTCCTTGTGCCTCTATCTCTTCTTAGAAAGACACTAGTCATATTGGATTAGAGCCTACCCTAAGGATCTCATCTTAATTTGATTATAACTATAATGACCCTATTTCCAAATAAAGTCATATCACAGGTACCAGGGGTTAAGACTTCAACATATCTTTTTAAGGGACACAATTCAACCCAGAACATCACTCATTGCAAGGAAAGTGTCACATGTGTCTGTGTGAAGAGACCACCAAACAGGCTTTGTGTGAGCAACAGGCTGTTTATTTCACCTGGGTGCAGGTGGGCTGAGTTTGAAAAGAGAGTCAGCAAAGTGTGGTGTGATTATCGTTAGTTCTTATAGGTTTTGGGATAGGTGGTGGAGTTAGGAGCAATGTTTTGCAGGCAGGGGGTGGATCTCACAAAGTACATTCTCAAGGGTGGGGAGAATTACAAAGAAACTTCTTAAAGGTGGAGGAGATTACAAAGAACCTTAAGGGTGGGGGAGATTACAAAGTACATTGATCAGTTAGGGTAGGGCAGAAACAAATCACAATGGTGGAATGTCATCAATTAAGGCTATTTTCACTTCTTTTGTGGATCTTCAGTTGCTCAGGCCATCTGGATATATATGTGCAGGTCACAGGAAATATGATGGCTTAGCTTGGGCTCAGAGGCCTGACGTTCCTGTCTTCTTATATTAATAAGAAAAGCAAAACAAAATAGTGATGAAGTGTTGGAGTGGCGAAAAATTTTGGGGGTGGTATAGAGAGATAATGGGCAATGTTTCTCAGGGCTGCTTCAAGTGGGCTTAGGGGCGGCGTGGGAACCTACAGTGGGAGAGATTCAATTGAAGAAAGATTTTGGGGTGAGGGGTGATATTGTGGGGTTGTTAGAAGGAGGATTTGTCGTATAGAATTATTGGTGATGGCCTGGATGTGGTTTTGTATGAATTGAGAAACTAAAGACACAAGGTCCAAATAAGAGAAGGAGAAAAACAGATATTAAAGGACTAAGAATTGGGAGGACGCAGGACATCCAATTAGAGAGCATCCAAGGGGATTTAGTGTAATTGATTGGTTGGTTGGTGAGTTTTTGGGCTCTATTTTTGAGAGTTCTTTTTTTTTAAGTTGAGGCTGAGCTTGGTGAGGTGTGTTTTTAAAAGACCATTAGTCCGTTCTACCTTTCCTGAAGATTGAGGATGGTAAGGGGTATGAAGGTTTCACTGAATACCAAGAGCCTGAGAAACTGCTTGGGTGATTTGACTAATAAAGGCCGGTCCGTTATCGGACTGTATAGAGGTGGGAAGCCCAAACCCAGGAATTATGGCGGACAAAAGGGAAGAAATGACTGTGATGGCCTTCTCAGACCCTGTGGGAAAGGTGTCTACCCATCCAGTGAAAGTGTCTACCCAGACCAAGAGGTATTTTAGTTTCCTGACTCGGGGCATGTGAGTAAAGTCAATTTGCCAGTCCTGGGCAGGGGCAAATCCCCAAACTTGATGTGTAGGGAAGGGAGGGGGCCTGAACAATCCCTGCGGAGTAGCAGAATAGCAGATGGAACACTGAGAAGTGATTTCTTTGAGGACAGATTTCCACGATGGAAAGGAAATGAGAGGTTCTAAGAGGCGGGTTAGCGGCTTGTAACCTACATGGAAGAGGTTATGAAATGACGATAGAATAGAATGGGCCTGTGAGGCTGGAAGGAGATATTTTTCTTGGTCCAAGAACCATTTGCCTTGTGTGGGGAGAGACTGACAGGTGGAAGTTTCAGTGGGAAAGTAGGTGGGAGTGACTGATGAGACGGAGAAAAACTGGCCATGAGGGACAGAAGTTGGAAGGCTAGGTGCTTCTTTAGCTACCTTATCAGCATAAGCATTGCCCTGAGCGATAGGATCTGATGCCTTTTGGTGGCCCTTGCAGTGTATGACTCCAGCTTCCTTTGGAAGTAAAGCGGCCTTGAGAAGAGTTTTTATTAAGGAGGCCTTAATGATGGAGGACCCTTGCGTAGTGAGGAAACCTCTTTCTGCCCATATAACAGCATGGTGGTGCAGGATATGGAAGGCATAGAGTCAGTATAAATACTGACACGTAGTCCTTTTGCAAGAGTGAGGGCCTGAGTTAAGGCAGTGAGTTCGGCTTGCTGAGAGGTAGTGGAGGAGGGCAGAGCGGTAGCCTCAATGATAGATGTGGAAGATACTACAGCATAGCCTGTTTTGCTGGTGAGTGGCAATTAGGCCTGGTGGAACTGCCATCAGTAAACCAAGTGTGATCAGGATGAGGAACAGGAAAGAAGGAAATATAGGGAAATGGAGTGAATGTCAGGTGGATCAGAGAGATACAGTCATGGGGGTCTAGTTTGGTATCCAGAATAATGTGGGAGGCCGGACTGAAGTCCGGGCCAGAAAAATGGTAACTGTGGGAGACTCAACAAAGAGTGAGGATAGCTGAAGGAGTCGGGAAGCAGAAAGTATATGCATCAAGTGGGAGGAAGAAAATAGATTTTGGAAATTATGAGAACTGTAGAAAGTGAGTTGAGCATAGTTTGTGATTTTTAGGGCCTCTAAAAGTATTAGGGCAGCAGCAGCCGCTGCACGGAGACATAATGGCCAGCCTAAAACAGTAAGGTCAAGTTGTTTGGACAAAAAGGCTATGGGGCGCGGTCCTGGTCCTTGTGTAAGAATTCCGACTGCACAGCCCTGCACTTTGGCTGTGTGTAATGAAAAGGGTTGGGATGAGTCACAGAGAGCTAGTGCAGGAGCAGTCTCTAAAGCTGTCTTCAAGGAACGGAAAGAGGAGTGGGGAAAAGATTTAGGATCTATAGGGTCGGCTAGATTTCCTTTTGTGAGTTTATTTAACGGTTTTGTTAGGATGGCAAAACCAGGTATCCAAAGTCGAAAGTATCCAACCATGTCCAGGAAGGAAAGGAGTTGTTGTTTTGTAGAAGGGGTTGGGGTTTGAGAGATCAGTCAGACATGATCGGCAGAGAGAGCACGTATGTTTTTATGAAGAATTATGCCGAGGTAGGTAACGGATGGAGAAGAAATTGAGCTTTGGAGGGGGATACCCAATATCCCTTGGAGAATAAATGTTGAAGGAGCAGGAGGGTGTCCTGTTGAGAAGATTCAAAGGAGGGGCTACAAAGTAGAAGGTCATCAATATATTGAATAAGGTGAGAAGCAGAAGGGTGGAAAGAAAGTAAATCAAGAGAAAGAGCTTGGCTGAAGTAATGAGTGCTGTCCCTGAAGCCTTGCGGCAGTACAGCCCAGGTAAGCTGCTGGGACTGATGGGTGTCAGGGTCAGTCCAGGTAAAAGCAGAGGCTGGGACGAGGGGTGTAGGGGAATAGTGAAAAAAGCATCTTTAAGATCAAGAATGGAATAGTGAGTTGTGGAGGAAGGTATTGAGGACTAAAGAGTGTACAGGTTGGGCACTACAGGGTGGATAGGCAAAATAATTTGGTTGATAAGGCGCAGATCCTGAACTAACCTGTAAGACTTGTCCGGTTTTTGAATAGGTAAAATGGGAGAATTGTAAGGAGAGTTTATAGGTTTTAGAAGCCCATGCTGTAGCAGGCGAGTGATAACAGGCTTTAATCCCCTTAAAGCCTGTTGTGGGATGGGATACTGGCATTGAGCAGGGTAAGGGTGATTAGGTTTTAATGGGATAGTAATGCGCGTGTGATGGGTTGCCAGGGAGGGAGTGGAGGTGTCCCATACTTGTGGGTTAAGGTGGGGGGGATACGAGAGGAAGACACAAAGGAGGCTTTCGGTTGGGAAGAAGGGTGGCAATGAGATGTGGCTGTAGTCCAGGAATAATCAGGGAAGCAGATAATTTGGTTAAATATTTCAGCCTAATAAGGGAACTGGGCAAGTGGGGATAACTAAAAAGGAGTGCATTAAAGAACGTTGTCCAAGTTGGCACCAGAGTTGGGGAGTTTTAAGAGGTTTAGAAGCCTAGCCGTCAATACCCACAACAGTTATGGAGGCAAGGGAAACAGGCCCTTGAAAAGAAGATAATGTGGAGTTGGTAGCCTCTGTATTGATTAAGAAGGGGATGGACTTATCCTCCACTGTAAAAGTTACCCGAAGCTCGGTGTCCGTGACGGTCCAGGGGGCCTCCAAGGCGATCGGGCAGCATCAGTCTTCAGCTGCTAAGCTGAGAAGATATGGGAAGGAGTCAGTCAGAGAGCCCCGGGCCAGAGTTCCAGGGGCTCTGGGAGTGGCTGCAGGGCAAGCTGGACAGTCTGATTTCCAGTGGGGTCCCGCACAGTTGGGACACGGCTTAGGAGGAATCCCAGGGCTGTGGGCATTTCTTGGCCCAGTGGCCAGATTTATGGCACTTTAAGCAAGCTCCTGTGGGAGGCGGTCCTGGAGGAAAGCCTGGCCACTGCGGTTCAGACGTTTTGAAGTTCTTGTGTGCTGGAGATGTGGCTGGGGTTTCTCTCACAGTGGAGGCAACTAATTGCAACTCAGAAAAACATTGCTACTTGGCTGCCTTTACTCTATTATTGTACACCTTGAAGGCGAGGTTAATTAGGTCCTGTTGTGGGTTTTGAGGGCTGGAATCTAATTTTTGGAGCTGGCGGCTTGGGTGCGGTGGCTCATGTCCGTAATCCCAGCACTTTGGGAGGCCAAGGTGGGTGGATCACTTGGGCCCAGGGGTTCAAGACCAGCCTGGGCCACATGTCAAAATCCTGTCTATACAAAAAATACAAAAATTAGCCAGGCATGATGCACCCATAGTCCCTGCTACTCAGGAAGCTGAAGTGGGAGAATCACTTGAGCCCAGCAGGTTGAGGCTGCAGTGAGCTATGATCCACCACTGTACTCCAGCCTGGCAGACAGAGCAGGACCCTGTCTCAAAAAATACATATATATATAATCTGGGCTTGATGGTACCTGCCTGTAGTCTTAGTTACTCAGGAGGCTGAGCTGAGAGGATGGCTTCAGCCTGGGAGCTCAAGGCTGAAGTGAGCCATGATTACACCATTGCACTCTAGCCTGGGTGACAGAGAGACTCTGTCTCCCTCTAAAAACAAACAAAATTCAGTCTAGCTCTAGACCTAATGAGAATCTTCATCTTAGCAAGATCCCTAGGTGATGTGTGTACACAGGAGTTTCTTAGAGGCAGAAATCACTTCCCAGCAGTGTCTGAGGATGGCATCACTTCAGCCATCATCACCAGGGCTGGGGACCTGGAGATTAACAACGATGTAGTCCCTGCCCTCAAGGAGCTTGCAGGCTAGCAGAGAAACAGACAACCAGAGGAACAACCACAGGACTGGTACAAAGGTAGGGGAGTAGCAGAGACGGCTTTACAGAGGAGGTGGCTCTGAGATGCTTAACCTTTAGTGCTAGTAGAGGCATCGTTTGTTCTAAGAAAATTTGCTTTACATTCTTTAAAGCATGCAGAGTTGATCAATGCAACACCTCTTGATTTCCTGATAAGAGCTTTCAGAGGGTATCATCTTTGAGCAGCTCCTTACTCAATGGAGTGGTGCAGTGAGACCTCTGAGCCTCAATTTCCTCATCTGCAAAATGGGACAGTTTGTACCATATTGGCGTTACTGAAATTATCCGTGTTTTTTTTTGAGACAGAGCCTTACTCTGTCACCCAGGCTGGAGGGCAGTGGTGCAATTTCGGCTCACTGCAACCTCTGCCTCCTGGGTTCAAACAATTCTCTGCCTCAGCTTCCCAAGTAGCTGGGAATACAGGTGCCCGCCACCACACCCAGCTAATTTTTTTTGTATTTTTAGTAGAGATGGAGTTTCACCATCTTGACCAATCTGGTCTTGAACTCCTGACCTCGTAATCCACCCACCTTTGGCCTCCCAAAGTGCTGGGATTACAGGCGTGAGCCACCGTGCCTGGCCTTATCCGTGCTTTTATTTGAGCCACAAAACCACCCTGTGAGAGAAGCAGCATGGTGTGGAAGGACTTCCATAAAAACTTGCTAAACAGAAGATACAAAAAGAATGCTGCTAAACAGTATGTTCAACTGTGAAATCATTTTTGTTTAAAAAATGCATATACATATTCTATAATTTTTTTAACATTTTAACTATATATAACTAAATAGACATATAGAAAAATGCTCTATTAACACTGATTTTCCTGGAGAGTGGAAATAGCACTTTATACATTTCAACACTTTATTTTCAAGGACGTGTACTTTTTAAATGGGAACATTTTATTTTTATTTTTATTTTTTGAGACGGAGTTCACTCTTGTTGGCCAGGCTGGAGTGCAATGGCATGATCTCAGCTCACCACAACCTTCACCTCCCAGGTTCAAGCGCTTCTCCTGCCTCGGCCTCCCGAGTAGCTGGGATTACAGGCATGCACCACCACGCCCGGCTAATTTTGTATTTTTAGTAGAGACGGGGTTTCTCTATGTTGGTCAGGCTGGTCTCGAACTCCCGACCTCAGGTGATCCACCCGCCTCGGCCTCCCAAAGTGCTGGGATTACAGGCATGAGCCACCACGCCCAGCCGGAAACATTCTAAACATACGTAAGTATAACAGGAGATTAGAAGTCATGTTGATTCTGCGTGGCTTGATTATGGATCATTGTCTTCCTCTCATCGCAGATCCTCATTTTTTCGGTTTTCTGTGATGCGCTTGTCCCCATATGGGGCTCTGGCGTCTTTCTGGGTCTGGAGGTCCCCAGCGCCCTCTGCCGAGGCATCTCTTGGTCCGGCGGTCCTCAGGCTGGAGGGTGGAGCGGAGAAGCCTGGTCGACGTGGATGGACTCGGTGGGCCGGCGCGGGGCCCGTTAGGCATCTTTAATAAGTTTCACCGGGAGCCGGGTGGCCGGGATGGAGACGGCTAAGCCGCGAGAAGTTTACCTTCTACCACAGCGTCCACAGTACCCGGCTTGGCCTCAGGCCTCGGGTCCCGACGTCCTCCCCAGAGCACAAACCTACTACAGGTTAGGCCGGAGGCCGCCACAGCCCAGGGTCTCTGCCACCTGGCCCGCCCCCTCCGAGGCGCCGGAGAGCGATTCCCAAGGGGCCTGCCGGAGCGTGGCGTCACAGGAGCGTCGCGTCACGTGAGGCTGCCATCCAATCGCGGCGCGCGCTCTGCCCTGCGGGCAGCGGGTGCCAGGCACGGTGTCAGCAGGCAACATGGCCGAGAGGCCGGGGCCTCCGGGCGGCGCCGTGTCCGCGACCGCGTACCCTGACACCCCCGCGGAATTCCCTCCGCACCTCCAGGCGGGTGCGATGCGGCGCCGCTTTTGGGGCGTATTCAACTGTCTGTGCGCCGGCGCGTTCGGGGCCCTGGCCGCCGCCTCCGCCAAGCTGGCCTTCGGCAGCGAGGTCGAGCCCGGGGCGCTGTTGGTGCTGCTGCTGCGGGCGGGCGGGCGGGGCGCCGCTGGGCGGAGGAGGGGCGCTGCGGGGCCCGCGGGGCTCTTGGGGTGGGGCGGGGGTGGGCGCAGGGCGCCGCCGCACCCTCGCCGGTCTGTCCCGCCGGGGCCCCGGGCCGCGGGCGGCGCTGCGGTCAGCTGGGGTGGCAGAGAGTGTTTCGCCTCTAATCACGCCAAACCCTCGTCCAGTGTAGGTGGTAAGAGACGTCGGGGACTGAGGCCTCTTCCCTTACCAGGGACCTAAAACCTTTTCTCCGGTTGGGCTAGTTCGCTCTCGGGGAAGAACTACACCTCCTACATCCACCCTCTACCTCTCATTTTAAGTCCCTTGTGCCTGAGCATTTCTCTCCACGTGACTCTTAAGGTGAGAAGCCTCTTGCCCATCCCTTTACTCCGTAATTAACGGGTGTTGTGACCAGATGACCAGTCTGCCCCACTACCAGGAAAATTGGGAGTTTGGGATACTGTAGGCATAAGAGGATACTGACAGAGACGTTCTGGATGTTTTCCTGACGCTGAGAACTCCTAAACTTGCATCCTGGCGTCTGCTAAGGTGTATCTCTGCCTCTCCCTCCCACGTCGTAGACCAGCCTCTGCTTGCTATAGGGGTTTCATTGCGTCTGCAGCCCAAGGTTAGCCTCTGACCTGGACAGTGGTCACTGATTATTTAGGGTTAAGCCTATTTAGGGCTAATCCAGTAGTAGCTGCCATGCTTCAGGTTAGTATCCCATTGGGTGTAGTTCATGGGGTAAGTGGTCGAAAGTAAAATGAATAACTTTGTATGGGCCGTGAAGTTTGTTGTCAGGAACTAGACCTTCATAACCCTTTAAGCAGGTTGCCACTGGCCCATATGCTGCTTTGTGTAAGACAAGGTTGTCCAACTCGCGGCCCAACGCAAATTTGCAAATTTAAAACATGAATTTTTTTGCGATTTATTATTTTTTTTTTAGCTCATCATATATCATTAGTGTTAGTGTATTATATGTGTGACCCAAGACAGTTCTTCCAGTGTGGCCCAGGGAAGCCAAAAAATTGAACACCCTGGTGTAAGTTATAAGCAAGCACCTTTTTCTCAAGACACTATGTGTTCAGCTGCTGAGAAACCATTACAAGTAATAAGTATATTTAGATTCCGCACCCCCCCCCCCCGCCGCCTTGTCTCCAGGCAGGTTTCTAACTCACCACCAAGCAAGGGGGACTGCATATCCTTTGTGTAGGAGGCTTCTAAAGATCTTCTCTTCTCTTGAGACTTTCTCCTTTAAAAAAAAAGAAAGAAAATACCTGCAAGTTCTCCAAGGGATGTCTGGGATCACTAAATAGTCTGAGGTGGTGTTTCCCTCAGGCAAGGCTGTGCCCTAGTTAAGAGCATGGAGGTACACTGCCTGCTTGTGAAGCCTGGTGGCTCTCACCGCTGTAGCACTTTAGGAAGGTTACTTAATGCCCCTGGCTCTTTATCTGTAAAATGAAGTTAAGGAATAAATGAGAATGCTTAAACACAGCCCAGGACCTAACACAGAGTAAAAGCTCAAGAATACCCAGAGGGGGTCAGCCTTAGTGGGCTGTAACTTGTATAGGATTTGGGGGTGGGAATACAGAGCAGACATTGCTAATTCATGCTTTGCCTGATCTCAAGAAATAAGAACTCTACCCTAGGCTTACTACCTACGGAGTAAGAACTACTTGGCCCTCTGGGACTGATCTTCAAGCACTGGTCATTGTGGGACCAATAAGGGGCCGGTGTTCAGTAGAAAATACTGGCTTTGGATTAGCATTTTGCTTCTTCCCAAGATCATATGGCCAGCAAGGTGGCCAAATGAGTATCTTCTCTGAATTTGCTTTATTTGTAAGATGGGTCTGCTGCCCACTGAGGGTTAAGTGAAGCCCTGTGCAGGAAAGCTCTGAGGCCCTCTGAGCTGTAGTGGGAGCTCAGTAGGAGCCTGGGTGCCAGCAACCACAGTCCTGGGTGTGCTTTGAGGGGGTCTGCAGGTTGCTGCCCAGGGTGGACGTGGCTGCAGTGACACTTTCTCCTGCAGGTGAGCATGGGTTTATGCGTCTTAGGCATTATTGTGATGGCGAGCACCAATTCTCTGATGTGGACCTTCTTTAGCCGGGGCCTCAGTTTCTCCATGTCTTCAGCCATTGCATCTGTCACAGTGACTTTTTCAAATATCCTCAGCTCGGTGAGTAGCCTGAGGGTGTGGTGCTCTTGTCCTAAATCTGGGTTCTGGGTGAGTTGTCTTTGGATAACCCCTCCTTTCCCAGACAGGAGAAAGGACAGGAACTGAAGCAGAGGTTGGGCTGTGGCTTGACCCCTGGATGAGTGCTCTATTCATGGAGCAAATGTAATTCTAATCATGGAAGAATTCTTAAGTTAGATATGAGTGAAGCCTGACAGTAAAAAGCCTACTTGCTTGCTGTTCCTCCAGGGTGGAGCCCTCATTCTGAAGTCACTGTGCATCCTAGCTGTTTCCTAGGGTTCTGTGTACTCAAGGCTCCATGGCATTTAGAGGGTTGGGATTCCCAGAAACTTTTCTGCCCTGTGTAGTCTGAGGTTGACAAGATGGAGCTGAGCGTAGTCAATCTTGAGTTGAGGGAGAAACAAATACCATGTACCTGCTGTGTCTACCTGCTGGCATCTGCTGGGTCTTTCTTGTGTACTTTGCTGAGGTCCAGTGCAGTGAGGGAGGTAGCCTCTCCACTCATGCAGGGGAGATTGAATAGAGTGACTTGATGAAGGTGACAGCTAGGTTTCAAGCCCAAGGCTTCTGGCTCCAGACCTTTCCTCCTGGCACCCTTAGAAGGAAGTCAGTCCCAGGAGAGTGAGGTTGTGCCCACCTGCTGAAGTTGAGTCCCTCACAGCTATCTTTGTCTCGCAGGCCTTCCTGGGCTATGTGCTGTATGGAGAGTGCCAGGAGGTCTTGTGGTGGGGAGGAGTGTTCCTTATTCTCTGCGGACTCACCCTAATCCACAGGAAGCTCCCACCCACCTGGAAGCCCCTTCCACACAAGCAGCAGTAGCACCACTTGGCTAGACGGACCAGCTGGAAAGATCATGATGGTGGCCCAGCCTTGGGATGTCATGTGGGACTGTATCCTAGGGCGATCCAGTTGTGCAGCCTTCTGACCATCAGCCAAGGGAAGCAGGCCTCTGATGGAGCAGGCTCTGGCTCTGTAAGGAGAGGTGCAGCTGCAGCAGTGTTCTACCGGAAGTGTTTTGATCATCTGTACAGTGCTTTGGATTCTTCCTCCCAGGCCTACCCCAGTGAGCCTTCGCAGATGCTGGAGATCCTGGGGTTGGTCTGCTTTGTGTATGGTACTTGAAACCACGCTGTAATTATTGTCCTGTTGCCAAACAAAAGCCAGTCATGTAACTCTAGAAGCAGTGACTGGTGGGGCTTTCTGACAGTTCCATGCTGATGTATCAGGCCATCTGTGTCATGCTTATGTATTATGGCAAGAAGAGGAAAACTGGATTAATAAATACGTTTTTTGTAAGTTAAAACTACCAGGTACGGTATCTTAATTCTTTCCTTCCCTTTGGAGTAAGAGGGAGCCAGAGTGAGCTGAAATCCCAATGTGGAGGAGGCAGGAGAGTGAGGCAGGTACAGAAGCCTTGTGGCTTCGGTTGCTCTGACACCTGCTAGAGCTTGATCTTGTGGTTACTTCCTGAGGTCACACAGGCTAAGGCTCTTTGAACTGCACAGGGTCTGTTCATTCTCCTGGTGCTCTCAAGGAGAAAAGTTTGACCTCCCTTTGGAGACCTTGTTTTACTTGGGAAAGAAAGTGGTTCAGAGGTCCCTCCATTCCCTGCCACTCTGTTCCTCTAGCGTTTACCTTTAGGGCTCTTCTGTCATTTGCTTTTCTTTCTCAGATTCCCCTTTGGTTTTTTTTTGTTTTTTGTTTTTTTGTTTTTTTGGGTTTTTTTTTTTTGAGACAGTCTCGCTCTGTCACCCAGGCTGGAGTGCAGTGGCGCAATCTCAGCTCACGGCAAGCTCTGCCTCCCGGGTTCGCGCCATTCTCCTGCCTCAGCTTCCCGAGTAGCTGGGACTACAGGCACCCGCCACCATGCCCAGCTAATTTTTTTTATTTTTAGTAGAGATGGGGTTTCACCATGTTATCCAGGATAGTCTCGATCTCCTGACCTCGTGATCTGCCCGCCTCAGCCTCCCAAAGTGCTGGGATTACAGGCGTGAGCCACTGCACCTGGCCCCCTTGTTCTTTTTGTATCTTAGACCATGTGAATGTAATTCCTAGTTCAAAGTGGGCTGTGTGCTGCCTGCACACTTTCCCAGCACAGAGCCTGAAGCCCGGCACTTACCTGCCTCACTTCTCCCCTGGGGTGTCCGAGGGCCCTCTCAGCTCTCCTGAGTCTGATCTCTGGCCCCAAGTCTTCTTCATACATTTCCTGCAGTTGAGAGGGACCTGGTAGCCAGGAGGCTAGGAGAGCGAAGGGTCTTGTCCAGACCCTCCTCCTCGCCCATGTAGCACCTTCATTGCTCTCCTCCCTTACTGTGGTCAGCACAATTGACAGAATGAGCTTACTAAAACCATTCCACGGCTCCTTCTGATGGGGATCTGGCCCTAGCCCACCACTCCAACAAGAGTTCTCTTCCGCAATGACTCCTTAGTACCCATCTCCCTCATGCTAGCCCCACCATGCTGAGTCCCCCCAGACATCTGCAGGTCAGCCATTCTCAAATCCACCATGTCCAGTCCTGCCAACATGTTTTGTACTTGCTCTTACCCTTGCCTTGGGTTCCCTTTACCTTCACCTCTCGCTGGCAAACTCCTGCTCTTCAAAACCCTTGAGCTCCCATGGGGGCCAGGACAAAGCTGTAATTCACAGAATGTTAATCATTTAGCTCCACTTTGACACATTGCCTCCCAGCCAACCCGTGAGGGAGTTACTCTTGTTCCTGTATTAGAGGTGAGGAAACTAAGGCTTGGGGAAGTGGAATAATTTGCCTGACATCACACAGCTGAGGAGTGCCAGAACCACAATGTCAGCCCGATCTGACTGGGCTCAGCTCAGTCCCTACCTCTGTCCTGCTTCCCACACCAACACCTGAAAACTCAGAGAGGCCCTGCAGTAAGGGGCCTGTTCCATACTGTGACTCAGCATGCCCAAACCTCAGAACCCTTTGGTCACCAGCCACCTACCTTTTCTTAGGGGCTCTAGTGTTGATCTCCCTGATCTAGTCTGACCCCACCATTCTACCAGTGAAGAAGCTGAAGGATATTCAAGGCTTTCCAGGGTGTGTTCACCATATGGGTCAGACACCCAGCCAAGGCCAGACCTGAAGGCTGCTGATAGCTGGTGGTCGGCCTCCCTGGGCAGTTAGTGAAAAGGGCAGAAAGAAGTCCATCTTGGAGCAAGCATTGTCCTGAGAGGACCTGGCCTCCCATCCAGACACTTGCTTAATGCATAGAGATGGTTGGTGTTGACGTGGAACCCTATCACTCAATTCAACAAATATGCCTGTATTTGTACAAGATGTACAAGATGTATTTGTAGAAGACGTATATTTGTACAAGATGTAAGATTTTTTCTAAGAGGAAGATCAGTCATTCTTCAAAAAGCAGGAAGATACAACTCTATAGTCATCTAAAAAGTTGAGGAAACGTTCACTGTATTTATTTTCCTCATTTCAGAGGTTTATTGATAAGAATAAACTATATCAATACTATATCAATATTTGTCTTTTTGGTGTGCATCTTGGATGATGGATTGAACTTTGTTTGCTTGGAGCTGGCAATTTGACATCCAGGTTCAAAGGCCTGATAGGTCATTCCTTTCGTTTAATTTTATTTTTTAACTTACTCTTTTTAAAAGTGTGCAATTCAGTAGTATTTTAGTAGATTCACAAAGTTTTCGACCATTACCGCTAGCTAATTCCAGAACATTTTTATCACTCCAAAAGAAATTCTCATACCCATTAGCAGTCATTTTGTATTCCATCCTCCCCCAGGCCCATGGCAATCAAGGATCCACTTTCTGTCTATAGATTTGCCTGTTGTGGACATTTCATATAAATGGATTATACAACATCAATATATGGCCTTTTGGGTCTTTTTTCACCTAGCATAGTGTTTTCAAGGCTCATTCATGTTGTAGCATGAATCAGTTATTCATTCCTTTTTATGACTGAATAATACTCCATTGTGTGGATCTACCACATTATGTTTATACATTCATCTTTTGATAGACATTTGGCTTGTTTCCCTTTTCTATTCTATTCTAATTTTCTATTAGAATAATGCTGCTTTGAACAATTGTGTACACGTTTTTGTGTGAACATGTTTTCAATTCTATTGGGTATATACCTAGGAATGGAATTGCTGATATAACTATGATACAATATGAGATAACATGTACAGAGGAGAGGTCATTTGAGGACATAGCAAGAAGGAGAGAAGGCAAGCCAGGAAAAGGGCCCTCATCAGAACCTGAATTTGCCAGCACATTGATCATGGACTTCCCAGCCTGCAGAACTGTGAGAAAATAAATATCTGTTGTTTAGGTCATGCAGTCTGTGGTATTTGTTATGGCGGCATGAGCTGACTGATACAACCCAAATGGCCATCCATATTCATCTATGGAATACTACTCTTCAGTAAAAAGGAAGAGAGTATTGATACATGCTATCACAAGGAGAATCATAAAATAATTATGCTAAGTGAAAGAAGCCAGACCCAAAAAGAATATATACCATATAGTTCCATTTATATGTAATTAAAAAGAAAAAAAGGCAAAACTTCAGTGACAGAAGGCAGATCAGTGGTTGCTTAGGGCTGGGAATCAGGGCAAGAAGGAACTTTTTAGGATGATGGCTCTTTTCTACATCTTGATCATAGTGGTCATTACACAACTGTATAAAACTAACATTCTATACTTAAAGTGGGTGAATTTTATTGGATATAAACTATACCTCAATAAAGCTAGGGGGAACTCAGTAAGATGCCATTGATGCCATTTCATACAAGATTGGCAAAAGTTACAAAGTTGAACAAGCAAGGCCAATGTTGTGGATCACTGTGAATTCCCATGTGCTACTGCTGGAAGTATAAATTAGTATAACCCTCTGGAAACATTTTACTATCATCTGACAAAACAGAAGATGTGCCTACTGTTTGAGCCAGCAATTCCAGTCCTGGAAACTCTCACTTGTGCACAAGGAGACATGAACACACATGCTTGTTGCAGCAGTGTTTATAACTGAGAAAAATGTAAAACAATCTAATATCAATGGGAGAATAGAGAAGTTATAGCATACAGTGTATTGAACACTATACAGTGGTGACAAGCATGAATTACATGGAAAAATTACATGAAAAAATCTCAAAATCATAATGTAGAGTGAAAAAAAGTAGAAGGGAGTGTTAAGTATGATAATTTTACAAAAAAATTTAAAACCTTCAATACTACTTATTATTTTAGATATTCACGTTTAGTAAGTATTTTTAAATATGCAAGGGAACTTAAATACCAAACTCAGAGTGGTGGTTACTTTGGGGAGGGAGGAAAGGAAATTGGGGTTGGGAAGGGATATATAAGGGGCTGAGAGCTTCAGTTATAACCCATAAGTTTTATTTCTTGAACTTGATGAGGGAGATGTAAGTTTTCATTGCTGTTTTTTTTTGAATTTTTGTAAGGTTTCATAAATGTTTTTAGACAATACTTCACTGATAAATGGGAACGATCACATTTAACAATCATTAGACATACAAATCTTACTGCTGTTGTTTAGCAAGAAAACCCCAAGATCGTCTTTGCTAGCCGATGTGTGCTCTGGGCTCTTTGGGCCTGGATAAGGAATAGCAGGGCCCAGCCCAGAGTCTGGAGGTGTGGTGAATCAGATAGGTTAGGGTGGGAGGTGAGACAGACCATGTTGGTTCCAGTGGAATTGGCTCCAGGGCTGGACTGGGCAGATAATTATTACTCCAAATTCCAGAGCCATCCAGTTCCTTTGGGAAACAAGGGCTTGGAGGGCTCAGATTTCCCCCAAATCCACTCAACTTGTCATAGATTGAGCTGAGATGGGACCCCAGATAGCCTGGCTGAGAGCCTGTCTTGTCTGTACTGCTTCCGTGTTCCCTTGCTGGTCTTCAATAGGGTCCCCAAAGTTCTTCTTGCCTGGAGGCCTGCAGCAGTGAGTCCTGACTGTCACCAGCATGGTCCCTCACAGGGTAGCCCCTCACCAGAGTTTAAAAGTCAGTCCCCTATGCAGTTAGACCTAATGCTACACCAGGGGGAAAATTCAAAAGAAAAAAATACACAATTTAGGCAACAGGGTTCCTAGCTGCATTACTGCTAGCAGCAGTTAGTTGCCTGATAGTTGAGAAATGGTTAGGCAAATATGGTAGAATATCACGTGCCCACGAACAGGGGTGAGCATTTGAAATAGGCGGATCCTAGACAGTGTCCACAAGGCAGCCTGCCAGGCATGGCCTGAAGTGCCAGGTTTGCTCCATGCAGTGTAAACACATTTGTGTACAATGGCAAGCGCTAGGAGTGGCTTAAAAAGAGGTGACTTCGGGGTTTATTGGATTCTTTTATTTTTCTCCTATAAAGTTGTTTACATATATAATAGGAGTCAGATGAGAGATGAATTTATAGTTTCAGATATAAGAAGAAAAGATTTTGCTCCCACAAATCTGTGGATGCGTATTTACTAACTCCTCCCTGTCTCCACACAAAAAAAGGGGGCGGGGATGCATCAGGATGCCTATCTTTATGATTTAGCTCCGAGCTTAGCACCATGAACAGCAGCTGTGGTGCCTAGAGTCCAACAGGGCCTCAGTTGTTCTTTCATCCTCAGAATTGGGGGGTGGATGCAGAGGTGGGTCAGGGATTAGGCTTGAATCCCCAAAACCAATGTGTATTGGGCTTTCCTTCCAAAAGGGACTCCCAGCATGCGTTGGGAGAAGAGGACACAGCCTCCCCTGACCTCTGCAGGAGGCACCTGCCCCACAGGCACAGGCATGGGGCCGCTCCCAGGCTTCCACCTGAGCACCCTGTCCTGTTTGCTTATTTGTTCATTTATTCATGCATTCCCTCATCTGCTGAGCACTCTGTGCCATGCTATGGGCTAGGGACACAAAATGAGAAGATTCCATTCCTGGCTAAGGTCCTCTATGAACTTCATCTTGAAACGTGTCTTCTGTTCCCCACCTTACCTGGTGGTTTTCAGGCTCTTCTTGCCTGATTTTTCCTTTTCTCCCTCCTCCCCAGCTCCATCATCTGTGGATTAATGTGAAGTGTAGACCATGCCAACTTTTCTGGGACAGCACATTCAGAGCCTCCTGTCCCATGGTGGGGCCTGTGTCTGGTCCTCTTGGAGAGCAGAGAGCAGAGGGTCTTGAGTGGGCTGCCTCTGATCCCAATATGCCTGGAGTTGGCCACCAGGTGCTAGTGCAATACAGTGGCTGCAGTTCAGCAGCTGGTGGGGGAGGGGGATGCTGATGGCCCCAGTGGCCTGTGACTAGACCATGGTGTCAGCTGTGGCCCCAGACAGGAAACATGAGAAAAGATGATCCTTTGGGACCAGCTGACAGATAAAATGCCACATGCACAAGGAACTAAATAAGGGCCGACTCTGCTGAGGCCCGGAAGTTCTGCTGCAGGAAGAGGGAAGGGAGGCTCACGGGGATCCTCTCCTGATGCCCAGGTGGCTGCCTCTCTCTAGGCTGCACTTTTTCCAGCTGTGAAATGAGGTTGTTGGGATGGGGGGGGTCCTTTGTAAGGTCCGCGGTGTAACTCATTTCTTGCAGAGAATTTTGAATGCCTTTGCCTCTTCACAGCATCCTGCTTCAGACACTTGACCTGTGGCGTGGGTGTTATTATTTCCCACCTCCCAGATGAAGAAACAGAGGCACAGAGAAGTAACTTCCCAAGGTCACACAGTGGATCTGTAGAGGACCCAGGATGTAGGCCCAGTTCTGTCTGACCCAAAGTCTATTTCTTTTAGACACTTTTATACTCACTCTGGTACCCTGGATTCTCTGGCCTGGAAGGCACTGGCGAAAGCTCATCTTGCACAAGCCCCTTATTTGTCAAAAATGATGAAAGAAGCTCAGAGAGGTGAAGCAACTAAAACCCGGACCCTCTCACCCCTAGGCCAGGACTTTTATTTAGAGGCTTTTTCCATTTAAGTAGTGAATTTATTCTTAAATAGGTAATTCATGCACATGGTGCTAAATTCTGATGATGTAAAAGGAAATACAGAGAAAAGCAAGCATCCTTCTCCCACTCCTGAGCCTGTAATCATAGGGCCTAGGGCTTCTCTGCAGACAGAACCCAGCCAAGACTTTTCGTAAATGCCATGTGCACTTCAGGGCTTGGTTTGTTCTATTATATTTAGGGATGCGGTGCTGAGATGCTTGCCTGCAGAACAGCAAAAACCTCTGACTTCATTATTGTTATTCAGAGTAACCAGGGTCATTGCTCTCTGGCTTGCCTTAAAGCCAGCAAAGGCAATTGCCCATCCCTGGGCTTTTGGTCTGGAAGAGACCGTTGGCATCATTATTCAGCCCCCTCACTTTTCAGGTAAGGAGCTAATGAAGACAACATTCCCAGTGACACACGGCAAGTTACTGTGGTGTTGGGGTTTCAGTGTCAGGAGTCTCCTCTCTTCCTCTGGCATTTCTGCTACTATGCCAGGCTGGCTCCTTTCAGTAGACATAACATCATTGAAAAATACCACAAGTGCCCCTGTGGAGAGCAGAGCAGATAGCCATTAAAATTACAAAAGCTTATGCTTTTTGGCCCAACATTTCCACTTCAAGGCATTCAATTCTTCCTATAGATACACTCATGTGAGGGTAAAATGATCTCTGTATAACCTTATTCTTTGCAACACTGATTGTAATAAGGAAATATTGGAAGCAACCCAGATGCCTATGGGTGGGAGGTGAGTTACATAAATTAGGGACCATCCACACAAACAGAATATGTGCAGCTGTGAAAAGACTGGGCCACCTCTCCATGTGCAATAGGAACAGCTCCATCTTGCCAGGCGTGGTGGCTCACACCTGTAATCCCAGTACTTTGGGAGGTGAAGGTGGGGCGGATCCCTTGAGCCTAGGCATTCCAGACCAGCCTGGGCAATGCAGTGATATGCTCTCATTGTGTAAATAAAACAAAATAATACATTATTTGCTTTGCAGATGCCACTGCCGCCAGGAGCCCTGTAACATCAGCCATCGTCAACCCCACCGTGTTCTTCAACATCACCGTTGACGGCAAGCCTTTAGACCTGCGTCTCCTTCAAGCTGTTTGCAGACAAGGTTCCAAAGCCAGCAGAAAACTTTTGTGCTCTGAGCACTGGAGAGAAAGGATTTGGTTATAAGAGTTCCTGCTTTCACAGAATTATTCCAGGGTTTATGTGTCAGGGTGGTGACTTCATACGCCATAATGGCACTGGTGGCAAGTCCATCTATGGGGAGAAATTTGATGATGAGAACTTCATCCTAAAGCATACAGGTCCTGGCATGTTGTCCATGGCAAATGCTGGACCCAATACAAATGGTTCCCAGTTTTTAATCTGCACTGCCAAGACTGAGTGGTTGGATGGCAAGCTTGTGGTCTTTGGCAAGGTGAAGGCATGAATATTGTGGAGGCCATGGAGTGCTTTGTGTCCAGGAATGGCAAGACCGGCCAGAAGATCACCATTGCTGACTGTGGACAGCTCTTATAAGTTTGACTTGTGTTTTATCTTAACCACCAGACCATTCCTTCTGTAGCTCAGGGGAGCACCCTCCACCCCATTTGCTCCCAGTATCCTAGAATCTTTGTGCTCTCGCTGCGGTTCCCTTTGGGTTCCATGTTTTCCTTGTTCCCTTCCATGCCTAGCTGGATTGCAGAGTTAAGTTTATGATTATGAAATAAAAACTAAATAACAAAATAATAATAATAGTACATTATTTGCTTCTCAGTGCATACAACATCTCTGGAAAGATCTAAAAGAAACTGGTAGTAGGATTCAACAAGGTGGACAGGGGGCATTTTTTTCCATTTTGAACCATGTGGATGCATTATATATTCAAAATGTAAAACAAAAAACTCACAAGCATCTCTTACTTTTTCAACTTGAAGAAAAGAGAAGAAGAAGAAAACCCTAAAGTCAGTAAAGGTTAGCCTGGGTTCCTAGACTTAAGCTTGATAGTAACCAGAATGTCAGGCCACATGTGGTGTAGGTCATAGGGTCCTGGCTTTTGGTCACCCACTGTTAGGCTCATATAACAGACAAGGAGGTGCCATTGTCCGTTGTCTGTCCCTTTTACATCAGCTCATCTTGGCTCCTGATTTCCTGGGTCTGATATGGAAGATTCCGGGATTTTATTATTTCTAATCAACATCGCCTTCCCAAACCCCGCCCCTTGGCAGCCATAGCAAGGCCACATCTAGCCCAGGATCACATAAAAAGGGCTGTTTCCTCCCCTGAGGACCGACTGTGTGGAAGCACCAGGCATCAGAGATAGAGTCTTCCCTGGCATTGCAGGAGAGAATCTGAAGGGATGATGGATGCATCAAAAGGTGAGTGGGTGAAATCTCCATGGAGCCCCACATGCCCCTTCAGCCAGCTGGCCCTAAACTGCTCTCTTGCCTCTGCCGGGTGCCTGGGGCCATTGCCCTCTCACCCTGACTTGTGGCCCTGGTGCTGCTTGCTTTCTGTCTCATCCCTTTTTAGAAAACCCACAAACTTTTCATTTAGGCATAATTTCAGATTTACAAAAAGATTGCAAGAATAAAAAGAAGAATTTCCATATATCCTTTATCCAGATTCCCTAAATTATTACTGCATTTGCTTTATCCTTCTCGATCAGTGGACAGATAGATGATATAGACAGATAGATAGACAAATATATATTTTTTGAACTCTTGAGAGTAAGTTGCAGATATTACATTATTAAATATTTTGGTGTGTATTTCCTAAAGACAAGGACATTCTCTTACGTAACCAATACAATTATGAAGACCAGGACATGAACACCATTTCAATACTGTTATCCAACCCACAGATTTTATGCAGATTTCATCAACTGTCCCAATAATGTCATTTATAGCAGAAGAAAATCCTGGGTTAGGCTTTGCATTCCGTTGTTGTGCCTCTTCGGTCTCCTTTGTCTGGAATAGTTCTTCTGTCATTCTTGGAGTTTTGTGACTTCAACACTTTTGAAGAGTACAGACCAGTTATTTTGTAGAATGTCTCTCAATGTGTCCTGTCCTTTCTCAAGGTCACCTGATGGATTTCCCTACTGCAGAGGGTCTGTCTGCTGCTGTCAGCAGTGTCATTGCTTCTCAGAGTGGGGAATAGCAGAGCGGAGTCATGTGCCAGGCTCTGTGTCCCATGAGGATGCAGCCGCCTACCACCACCAAGAGCAGACACCAGAGCCCTCAGTTTTACTTCAGGGAGTCCGGGTGCTGCTAGGGAACAACGAGGCTGGGTTTGAACCCCTCTGCTGACTCCCCAGCCCACAAGCCCTCTGTAACCTCCCAGCAGGGTTTGCTCAGCAGCCTTCTCTCTTGCTTGAGAAGCTGCTTGATAAGCCAAGGAATGGCTGCTTTGAAACTCTGCAAAGGGACTAAGCCAGACCCTCCTAGTTTCCACCTTCTTTTTTGGAGGGTGACATTGCGAAATAAATCAGACTCTTCTTTTTAGTCCCAAGGCCACAGAGTTTTGAATTCCTCCTTAGATGGCTGACGCCTCAGCTAGACTCAGTCTTGGAGGGTACAGAGTCCTTAGGACTGAGAAAGGGTGGTGTGGTGTGATGGGAAGCACCTGCTGATTTGAGAGAAGATTCATGTCTAAATAGCCCTGTGGCTTTGGGCAGGTTACATCAATCCCGTGAAAGCACTATATAAATTACTGAGGACTACCTGAAGGAAAGGTAGTCCTGACCCACACTGTCATTTTCAAGAGGTGTGACCTGTTCACTGGGGAGGTTTGATGACTTGACTGAGGTCCCAGCCATGGGTGGCAGAGCTGGGACACAAACCCGGCGTGTGTTCATTTCATGCCACACTATGCTGCCTCCCTGCTGGGCACAATTTGACTTTACTCTCAAGGTCTAAATCACCAAAGACAGTCATCTCCTGGCCACCAGTGTTGGGGTGTTGGTGAGGGGAGCTGACGCTCCCTGAGGTGTCCTTTCTGATGGGCTTGTGCAAGTAACCATCACATGCCACCTTACAACATTAGCAAGTTGTGATGACTCCATGGTGTTTTCATGAATATGATTTCATTTGTTCTTCCAACCACTCTAGGAGGTCAGGACATCCAAATAGGGACCTGGAAGATGGTGATATGTGTGGGATAAAGGTAGGATTTCATATAAATGGAGGAAATGAGAAATTGTGCACTTTATGGTATTAGGACAACTGGTTAGTATTTAGAGAAAAACAAAGCCAGATATCTATCTCATGGCTTATCCCACAACGAATCCCAGAAAGGTCGAAGACGAAACTGTAAAGGCAATAGAAGAAAATGAAGGCAATATGAAAAATAATCTTAGAGTAGAGAAGGTGTTACAAAGGAAAATAGAAAACCTAGAAACATAAAGGAAAAGAACAGTAAAACTGACTCCAGAAAAATTAAAAATATGTGTAAGACAAAACCTCCAGAGTCAGAAGGTAATGGAACTGTGAAGGGTACTTTCAACACATATGAGAAGCAAATGCTGTTCTGTAGTATAAAAAGAGCTCTCAGATCTATAAGAAAATGACCAACATCCCAAAATATACATGGACAAAGAGCAGTATTAGGTAGTTCAAAGAAAAAGAAATATAAATTGTAATATATGAAAAGATGCTCAACCTTACTTGTAACGAGGGTGGTCATGAAATAAAACTGAAACAGCAGGCCAGGTATGGTGGTTCATGCCTATAATCCCCAAAATTTGGGAGGCTGAGGTAGGAGGATTGCTTGAGCCCAGGAGTTCGAGACCAGCCTGGAAAACATAGTGAGACCCTGTCTCCACAAAACAATTTAAAAATTAGCCGTGGCCCAGCAAGGTGGCTCATGCCTGTAATCCCAGCACTTTGGGAAGCCAAGGTGGGCAGATCACTTGAGATCAGAAGTTAGGGACAAGCCTGGCCATCATGGTGAAACCCCGTCTCTACTAAAAAATACAAAAATTAGCCGGGTGTGGTGGGGTACACCGGTAATCCCAGCTACTTGGGTGACTGAGGCATGAGAATTGCTTGAACCTGGGAGGCGGAGGCTGCAGTGAGCTGAGACTGCACTCCAGTCTGGGCAACAGAGCGAGACTTTGTCTCAAAAATAAATAAATAAATAAAAATAAAAATTAGCCAGACATGGTGGTGCATATCGGTAGTTCCAGCTACTCAGCTACTCAGGTTCAAGGCTGCAGTGAGCCATGATTGCAACACTGCACTTCAGCCTGGGTGACAGGCCAAGACTCTGTCTCTTAAAAAAAAAAAAGGTTATATAAAAGCAAAACAGCAATGAGATTTCATTTTTTCATTTATCAGATTAGCCAAGATTAAAAGTTTAATAGTAAATAGCTTTAAAAAGGCATCTTCTCATCTTTTTGTAGGAGTATCACTGGTGCAGTCGCTAGAAGGCTCTCTGGCAACATTTGCTGAAATTAAAGATGCCCATATCCTGTGACACAGCAATTCTGCTTTGGAAGATTTCTCTTACAAATATTGTCACACATGAGTGCAAAGATACATGTACAAGGAAGTACATTGTAGCATATAAGATTTTAAATGGTCTACATGTCCATCCAGGGGGATAATAGCTACTAAAAAGTAACAAGGTTGAGACCAGCCTGGGCAACATAAGGAGACCCCTTCTTCACAAAAAATGAAAAAATTAGCTGGGTGTGGTGATGCATGCCTGTAGTGCCAGCTACTCAGGAGGATGAGGTGAGAGGATTGCTTCAGCCCAGGAGGTCGAGGCTGCAGTGAGCTGTGATCACACCATTGCACTCCAGCCTGGGAAACAGAATGAGACTCTGTCTCAAAAAAAGAAAAAAAAATTAAAAGAAAATAATAACAAGATCTACTTGGGTGGTTAGGAGATAAATTTCAAGACATGTGTGTGAGAGAGAGAGGGAGAAAAAGAGAGAGAGAGAGAGAAGCAAGGCGCAGAATAGTGTATTGAGAAAGCTCCTGTTTCTGTAACTAAAGTAATGGTTTATGGCAGAGAAAACTGGAAAGATACCTAGATACTTTATAGTGATTTTCTCTGGAGAAAGGATCTGGGAGTCTGGGATGGGAGAGAAACTTAATTTTTGTAATGGGCATTTATTACTTTTGTTTTATTATTATTATTATTATTATTATTATTATTATTATTATTATTATTATTTGAGATGAGGTCTCACTCTGTCACCCAGGCTGGAGCACAGTGACGTGATCTCGGTTCACTGCAGCCTCCAGTTCCCAGGTTCAAGCGATTCTCCTACCTCAGCCTCCTGAATAGCTGGGATTACAGGCATGCGCCACATTACCCAGCTAATTTTTTATTTTTAGTAGAGATGGGGTTTCACCATGTTGGCCAGGCTGGTCATGAACTCCTGGCCTCAAGTGATCCGCCTGTCCTGGCCTCCCAAAATGCTGGGATTACAGGCGTGAGCCGCTGCGCCTGGCCTCTTCTTTATCCTATTTGTGATTCTTTGTGGTTCCTAAATAAGAGGATTCATGTCTCTCATTCATTTTGGAAAGTTTTCAACCATCACCTCTTCGCTGCTGCTCCCCATTCTTGATTCTCTCCTTTCAGAACAACTATAGTATATAGTTTAGCCCTTTTCATCCAAGACTCCGCGTCTCTAAACTGCTTTTCATATTTACTTCTATTAATATTTCTCTAGGTTGTATTATAGGTATTTGTTTCCAGTCTATTTTCTAGTTCACTGATTCTCTTTCAGTTATGTCTATTTGCTGTTTAACCTGTGAGTTTTTTTCATTTTGAGAACCATATTTTCATTTTTAGAAGTTATGTTTTAAAAAATTTATCTGGTCATTCTTAATAGTGGCTTATTCCTTTCTCATCATTCTGATTTATTCTCTTAGGTCCCTAGCCATTTTTGACTTGGCTATTTTATGGTCTCTCTCTCTCTCTCTCTCTCTCTCTCTATATATATATATATATATATAGTTTATTTAATTTAATTAATTTATTTATTTATTTTTGAGATGGAGTTTCACTCTTATTGCCCAGGCTAGAGTGCCATGGCGTGATCTCGGCTCACTGCAACCTCTGCCTCCCCGGTTCAAGCAATTCTTCTGCCTCAGCCTCTCGAGTAGCTGGGATTACAGGCATGTGCCACCAAGCCTGGCTAATTTTTTTTTTTTTTTTTGAGACAGAGTCTCACTCTGTCGCCCAGGCTGGAGTGCAGTGGCGCAATCTCGGCTCACTGCAAGCTCTGCCTCCCAGGTTCACGCCATTCTCCCGACTCAGCCTCCCAAGTAGCTGGGACTACAGGCGCCTGCCACCACATCCGGCTAATTTTGATTTTGTATTTTTAGTAGAGACGGGGTTTCACCGTGTTGGTCAGGCTGGTCTCGAACTCCTGACCTCAGGTGATCTGCCCACTTCTGCCTCCCAAAGTGCTGGGATTACAGGCATGAGCCACTGTGCCCGGCCCTATATTTTTTAATATTTTATTTTATTTATTATTTTTTGAAATAAGGTCTCACCCTGTCACCCAGGCTGTAGTGTAGTGGTGTGAACATGGCTCACTGCAGCCTTGACCTCCCAGGCCCAAGAGATACTCTTGCCTCAGCCTCCCAAGTAGCTGAGACTGCATGTGCACATCACCATTCTCAGTTAATTAAATAATTTTTTTTTAAAGACAGGGTTTCTCTATGTTGCCCAGGCTGATCTTGAACTCCTGGGCTCAAGGGATCCCCCTGCCTCAGCCTCCCAAAGTGTTGGGATCATAGGCGTGAGCCACTGTGCCTGGTCCATAGTCTATATACGTTATTTTATAGTCTGTATATTATCTGATTTCTTGGACGAATACTTGTGTGGTTTCTGCTGAAATAGTGTATTTTGTGTTTTAAAATTTGGGGCTATAAGCTCACCTTGAGTGTGACTTTATCTGTGGGAATGCCATAAAACTTTGGTGGAGAATGAATTACTCCAAAGAAGATTGGCGTTTATCCCCTAAACCAGTGACAACTGTGACTAGGAGCCAGTTTCTGCCTATGAGCCAAGGACAACTGTTTATTTTACTTTCTCAGTATGGGGGAATCCCAGACCTCTACAGAAAGAGGTGATGTTTGAAATTTTTCATAACCGGTATGCATTCTGCAGGGGCTGTGCTCCCACAAGCACTCTGGGAAGGAGACTCTCCAGGAGTGCCTGCTGGCAGGTGGCAGTAGACTCAGGCAGCAATATGGACACTGGGGGGTGGGGGAATGTGATTTCTTGTGGCAAAAAGTACAAAGAAAAATCAGCAAAGGGAAAAGCCTGCTGGGGTGAGGTCCTGAGGGAGCTAGGCAGGTCTTCCAAGAGTCCTCTCCAGTGTCACACAGGATGTGTTTAATTCCTTTAGCAATTAGTTGTGACATGTTTTTTCTCTGTGTATCTCATTCATTCAGCAATCATAACTTTATTTTCTTTTTGTTTTTAGTAATCTCTTATTCTCACCCAGACCTTTCATCTGGAATGGTTGTTTGCAAGAGGGACAAAAGCATTTTTACAGAAAAATATTTTAATACAACCTAACCAGAATAACACATCATATTCTGGAATTGGTCAGGACAAAATCCTGAATTTTCAAAAATTTTCAAAATGGTAGTTCGGGTGTGGTGGCTCGTGTCTGTAATTCCAACATTTTTGGAGGCTGAGGCAGGAGGATCGCTTGAATTCAGGAGTTTGAGACCAGCCTGGGCAACATAGTAAGACTTCATCACCACTATGAAGTGCACTATGGTGCACACCTGTAGTCCCAGCTACTCTGGAGGCTGAAGTGGGAGGATCCCTTGAGCTCAGGAGGTTGTGGCTGCAGTGAGCCGTGTTCACACCACGGCACTCCAGCCTGGGTGACAGAGCAAGGCCCTGTATTAAAAAAAAAAAAATCAAAGTAATCTTAAATAACCTCTCACTATTTTTTGTCCTGATCATTTATTCATTGAGCAGCCTAGAAAAGGTCAGTCCCTTTCTGGGGAAAGCTGTATTTAATAATCAAACTGCCTTACCAGAAGGAAGGAGAAGGAAATTGTATTAGTTTATTTTCTGTTGCTTATAAAAGAATACCTAAAACTCAGGTAATTTATAAAGAAAAGAAATTCATTTATTACAGTTATGGAGGCTGAGACTCCAAGGTCGAGGAGCTGCATCTGGTGAGGGCCTTCTTCCTAGCGAGGACTCCCTGAGGAGTCCCAAGGTGGTGCTGGGCATCACATGGTAAGCTCAGGTCTTCCTCTTCTTATAAAGTCACCAAGATCCTCTTAAGTGCGTTTTTTCTTGTCATTTCAAGAGTCCCACTTGACCCACTCAAAAATATACATACAGACTGGAAAATCATAAGCTTCTAAGGCTGACAATTTCACAAGAGCTCATTAGCAACTAATGCTAATTTTAGTTTAAAAGCAACTTTGCTTTTTAAAACTCCAAAAGTATATCGCCATCTGGAGATTGCTTGTCTTTTATGTTGTCTCCTTTTTTCCAGAGGCTTCATAGGCAAAAGTTATAGCAAAAATTATCCATTGCAGAGACTTTTGTTTTTTAATACTCAAATAATTTAAACTCCAACCCACACATTGGTGGCAAGAAACAAGGACATTGTATTCCACTGACACTTTTTCTTTGCAGGTTTCCCTGGTCATCTTGCATTTATGACACTGCAAGCATTAAACTGGTATATCAATTTTGACCATCTATCCAAGTGCAATAGCTACAAAATAAAAATACAAACGCTTTTTTTTTTTTTTTTTTTTTAGAGTTGAGGTCTCACTTTGTTGCCCAGGCTGGCGTGTTGTGGCTATTCACAGCTGCAATCATAGCTCACTGCAGCCTCAAACTCCTGGGCTCAAGTGAT
Source organism: Homo sapiens (assembly GCF_000001405.40). Taxonomy (NCBI): domain Eukaryota; kingdom Metazoa; phylum Chordata; class Mammalia; order Primates; family Hominidae; genus Homo; species Homo sapiens. The sequence continues at coordinate 407,529 of NW_009646197.1, forward strand.
TCTCCCACCTCAGTCTCCCGAGTAACCGGGATTACAGGTATGTGACTCCAAAGGCATTTTTTTAAAGACAGCCCCAGTGTGGCTTCCTGTAGTTCCAGGATTCCTCCAGCCTCCCAGATCTGCCTTAAGCAGTGCTCAGGTCACAGAGCAGTGCCCAGGAGAGGGTGAGGGAGGAGGCTCCAGTACTGGCCATCTGTTATGTGCTGTATGTTGGTTTCTTAGGGCATTCAAATGACCACAAATGAGGCTGCTTAAAACAACAGCAATTTATTATTCTCTCGTTCTGGAAGATAGACATCCAAAATCAAAATGTCCGCAGGGTCCTGCTCTTGCAGAAGCCTCCAGTGGAGAATCTTCCCTTGTCTTTCTTGGTTTCTGGTGGCTCCAGGTGTTCTGTGGCTTGCAGCTGTGTAACTCCAGTCTCTGCCTCCATCTTCACATGACCCTCCCCTTGCCTTTCCATGTCTCTTATAAGGACACTTATTCTTGGATTTAGGTCCTACCTGGATAATCCAGGATAATATAATCACAAGATCCTTAATCACACCTGAAAATCCCCTATTTCTATAAGGTCACATTCATAGGCTCCAGGTGGAGATATCTTCTGTGGGACCACCATTCAACCCACTATATGCCCATCTGCCTAACATTAATGATGGCCTGCATTTTGTCGAGTGCCTACTGTGTGCCAGGCATGTGCCAGGCACTCAATGTGCACACTAGCCACCAAGGGAGGGACTATGTTTACCATTCCAGGGAGATAAGGTCTTAAGAAGCTTCCACAGAGATGACTGCATTTAGGATTTGGATTTCTTAACTGCTCTTTCCTGCTTCCTGGTACCAAAACCTATACCTTTACCCCTTGGGAACCCAGGTCACCCACCTGCCCAGTCCATGGGGGAGCAGGAATAAGTCAGAACATGGGAGGGACTGTTAAAGCCCTTTTCCAGCTGTGATTGCTTTGCGATTGGCTCTGGGTCCCACAGCAGGAGCTCTGCTGTCCAGGGAAATGAAGAAGCCTTTCAGGATTGCAGCTCCTGACAGCATGCTATGGTTTGAATATGTCTCCCCCTAAAATTCAGGGGTTGCCAATGTGGTGATACTAAGAGGTGGGGCCTTTAAGAGTTGATTAGGTGATAAGGGCTTCTTCCCTGTGAATGAGATGAGGTGCCCCTCTAAAGGGACCTGAAGGAGGGAGTTGGTCCTCTCTCGCCCTCTGCCTTCTGCTATGTTACAATGCAGCAAGAGGCCCTCACCAGATGCTAGTGCCTTGATCTTGGACTTCCCAGCCTCCAGAACTGTGAGAAATAAATTTCTATTCTTTCTAAATGACCCAGTCTCAGGTATTCCATAACAGTGGCACAAATGGGCTAAGATGCTCCAGCTAGCCATCGGCCCACCCCAAGGTTTCAGCCCAAGAAGGGGAAGCACCTGGGAAGGTAGGTCTGTCTGCCAGGTGGGCCTCCCTGCTGGAGGCAGCAGGTTCCCAGGCCCTGTGCGCAGTGTGAAGGGAAGGCCACTTGCTGGGACTTGCCTTCCTGGAGAACACTTGTCCAGACCCCAATCCCAAAGCCACTCCAGCAAGAATGAGCTGTGCTGTCTCCAAACACATCACTGGCCGCATCCCCAAGGTAGGCATCTGATGTGGGCGTGACCACTCCACCTATTTTGTAGTCATGAAAGCCCAGTTTCCATGGCTGGCCTCCTTGATCTCTGCAGAGGATGGGTTTCCTCTGTGGGTGAGCCCTCAGGAGCAGAGGAAGGTCCCTGCATCTCACCTCACTTTACCTCACAGGCCACAGCGGGGCTTCCTAATCTAGGGGTTCTCCATATGTGCCTCCCTGGGCCAGCAGCACAGCGTCATCAAGGAAGCTGCTGGAGAGGCAAATTCTCAGCCACACCCCAGATGTGCTGAATCAGAAACTCAGGGTGGGTCTGGCAGTCTGTGTTTTACCATGCCCTCTGCACACTCGAATTGCCTGGAAAGCTTTGAAAACATAGAGGCTCAGCCCCACTCAGAACAATTGTATCAGAATCGCTGGGGGAGAACATAAGTAGTTTTACAACCCCCAGGTGGTTTCAGCATGCAGCCAAAACACATTTCCCTTCATGACTCATGAGCCTGGGAATGGTTTGAATTTTAGATAAAGGGGAGGGGTTTGGGTCTCAAGCTGAGGTAATACGAAATGTCATTATAACAGACACATGGTGAGAAATACATGTGCTACAGAAAAGGGTGTATTATGCATGTGGAGATTATTTCTTTTACTGAATGTACTTTTCACTTTAGCATTGAAGAAAAAAATCCCCTGTTTTTTTTGGGGGGGATGGAGTCTCACTCTGTCACCCATTCTGGAGTGCAGTGGCTTGATCTCGGCTCCTGATCTCAGGTGATGCGCCGCCCCCACAGCCTCCCAAAGTGCTGGGATTAGAGGCGTGAACCACTGCACCTGGCCTTAAAAATCCCATTTATAATGCAAGTAGTCTTGGCCTCAGATCATGGGAGCTCCTTGGTGCTTCCTCCTCAATTTGGATAAAAAGGCTTCACCCCAGCCACTTTGCACCCCACCCTTCTCTTCAGGATGTGAACTCTCACCTCAGGATGGTGTCTGACTTGAAGCTGATGGGAGTCTGGGCTGAACAGGAAGGGGAGCAATCCCAGGGCTCATCTGTTCCCTCCTCAGTTTGCCCGCTCCCCTCTTTCCCTTCAGCTTTTGTGTTGATTGACGGAGAACACCCTGGCACCAGGTTTGTTCCTGAGGCCATGTCTGCAGAGAGGGGGAGTTGGGGTGGGAAACTTGCCTAACAGCCACTCACAGACTCACCCTGTTTGAAACTCAGTTTCCTCACCTGTAAGATGGGCGTGCACTTACCTATTTTGCGGGGTTACATGACTAAGCACTTGAGTCCACTGCTCTCAGCTCATCCCCATGTAATCCCACAAGGTAGGTATGTGCACACCAGTCTTACAGGTGAAGAAACTGAGTCTCAGACAGATTCATAACCAGCTGGAGGTGGAGCAGGGATGCCCGACTCTAAAGCCCAGCTCCACCTCAATGCACTCTCAGATTTTGAACCCAGAAAGAGGTGATCAGGGAATAAACATTCTCTGTGCTCTCTTTCCACATGTGCTGCGTTGCTGACAGAGCTGCAAGTTCTCCACATTGACTTCTTGAATCAGGACAACGCCGTTTCTCACCACACATGGGAGTTCCAAACGAGCAGTCCTGTGTTCCGGCGAGGACAGGTGTTTCACCTGCGGCTGGTGCTGAACCAGCCCCTACAATCCTACCACCAACTGAAACTGGAATTCAGCACAGGTGAAGCCTCGGGGCCCTACTCATGGGGCTTTGGGGAGGGATCACAAGTGTCTGTGGATGCTGGAGTGGCCCTTTCTGGTCAGTCTGAGCCAGGAGTGCCTTACCCTCCCTGATCCCCAGTTTCTCCATCTGTAATGTGGGAATAATAGCGGGTGTGAAGAGAATAGAATGGGAAGCTCAGTCAGGACCTGGCACATAGTGAGGCTCTGATTCCTTGGCTAAGCAGGGGAGGGGCCAGAGCAGAGAGAGGAGGTGACTCAGCGGGCATCTGCCGTGGTGGGGTCTGGAACATTTTGTAGAGATGAATCATAGGACTGAGGTATGCTGATGCCATAGCGGGGTGGGCTGGAGGCAAGCCAATAATAATGATTAAAATATCATATTTTGGTTGCAAAGATAATAGGAAATGGCTCATGCATTTGTTATAGCTAGGTAAATATATGTGCATAAGTACAACTAGGGGAAGAGAGAAAATGTATTAGATTTTGTGACAGGTGGTGGGATAATGGAGGAGGGTCTTACTTCTTTAATGTTGTTTTTAAGTTTTAAAAATAGATCAAGTAAGCTGGGCATGGCAGCTCATGCCTGTAATCCCAGCATTTTGGGAGGCCGAGGCAGGCAGATCACCTGAGGTCAGGAGTTCGAGATCAACCTGGCCAACATGGTGAAACCCTGTCTCTACTAAAAATACAAAAATTAGCTGGGCATAGTGGCAGGTGCCTGTAATCCCAGCTATTCGGGAGGCTGAGGTAGAATTGCTTGAACCTGGGAGGTGGAGGTTGCAGGGAGGCAAGATAGTGTCATTGCACTTCATCCTGGCGACAAGAGTGAAACTCCGTCTCAAAAAAAAATTAGATCAGGTAGATCTACTTTACAAGATGGCATACAATAGCACTTCCTGGGAGAGCGCTCCTTTTGCTCCTTCTCTGAGTGAACAACAGGCTTAGGGTCTCCTCCAACGTGCTGGTGGAGATCAGTCAGAACAGCCTCCATTCCCTTCATCCAAGATGAAATAAGCACCTACTGTGTGCCATGCCATGAGCTACCTGCTCAACGCATGGACTGGGACCGTGCTGTTGCTGACTTCAGTGACTTTATAGTACCCCTGGGTCCATGTGCATTCCCTCACCCAAAATTTCCTGAGTACTTGCCACATGCCAGGTGTTGCACTGAGCACTCTCCATGTATGACATAGTGTGAATCACTCACTCAACAAATATTTGTTGAGTACCTACTCTGTGCCAGGGAACCCAGAGGTAAAGCAGTTCCTGCCTCCTAGACTTGACTGTACTAGCAGAGAGAGCAGTAAACAAACAAAAGTGCAAGATAATTTCAGACAGGGCCAGATATGATGAAGAAACCAAAAACAAGAGGCTCCTCCAGCAAGACAGAAAGCAGCAGGTCAGGGCGGGGCTGACTCTGTCGGTGCTGACTCTGTCAGGGTTGGAAGGGCTTCCCTGGGAAGTGACCCTGCTGAGACCCACGTCCCACCATGTGAAGAGCTGAGAGCAGGGTGTTCCCAGCCATGAGCACGGCAAGTGCCAGGGCCCTGAGGAGACAACACTTGTGTCACATGCTCTTTGTCATGAGCTAACTCTCTGGGGACCAGAAACCCAGTCATGACAGGGAGGAAAGTGGGGAGCTGGGGAGAAGCCTCACTGAGGGCCACCTGTGGGCTATGGAAAGAGGTTGGATTTGATTCTAGTAGTCCCTGGAGCTCATGACATAAACTGACCGACCTTTCAAACAAGATCCTGCAACAGCTTGCAGGGTAGGCGGTGGCATCTGCCTCCTCCAGACGAGGAGTGAAGGTTAAGCAGTTCCCCTGCATTGCGTGGAGTGAACAAGCATGTTGGTCTGTGGCACGAGCCAGCAGGGTTAAACAAATGGTAACTCGAATGAGCATGTGACAGAGGCAGGAGCTCTAGGGAGACCTGGATCTGATGGGTAAAAAGGGAGGACGTGGAGAGGAGGCAGGAAGCTCATCTAAATTGAACAGAAAACTAAAACTGGACATGTGGGGCAGAAGGAGGCCCCTGCAGAATTAGAGGGGCTGGAGCCAGGGGACAAATGAGCCTGGAAAGGAGGGGTGGGGGCTCCATGAGTGGGCAGTAGGTGGGCCCGAACCAGAGGAGATTGTCTTGGGGGTGGCCCATGGCTGGGCCAATGTTTTCCTTTGGGTGTCTCCAGGGCCGAATCCTAGCATCGCCAAACACACCCTGGTGGTGCTCGACCCGAGGACGCCCTCAGACCACTACAACTGGCAGGCAACCCTTCAAAATGAGTCTGGCAAAGAGGTGAGCACCCACTGGGCTGGCGGGTGGGCTGGCTGGCTTCTGGCGGAATGCTCCTAATGTGAGCAGCCCCTATCCCCTTCCTCACCTGTCAGCTGGTAACATGGTTTAAAGCCATCCACAGCACAGCATGATAGAGGGGCCATGGCTCCAAATGTCTGTTTCCCCACTCAGCCTCCTCCAAGCACACAGTATCGCTGTGGCCAAACCTCCTACATGTCACCCTTCCCCTTTCCATTTCAAAGGGAACAATGTTCACTGGAGGACATGAGCGGAGAGAAGTACATAAAAATAACCCATGGTTCCACCAACTAAGTTACCCATCCTTCCTTCCAGGCTTTTTCTGTGTCATGGTCAAATACAAAATGGGGGTCCATCTCATGCTTCACTCACTTGACAAGACCTAATGGATGTTTTCCACAGTGGCTTCTGCCCGAGTGTGTGGCTTACGGTGGCTGGTTTTCCACCCTTTTTGGGAGCACTGGGTGTTCACAGTTGTCTCCAATCTTCCAGTGTTGTAAAGAACCATGTCTCGGCCAGATCTTTGGACTGGTTTATGGATATTTCCTTGGGCTAAATTCCTAGAAGTTTAATGCTAAGCTAATGCCATGATTTAAAAATGGCAACTACATTGGGTTTTTGTGGAAGCAGAATCTGCTGGTGGAAATGAGATGAATGGGCCAGCTGCTGCTGGAATCCTCGCTAGTGCCCCGGCCTCTTCCTTCCTCTCCCTCCCATCCAGATCCCAGACTCTCAACCCCAATTTTGCATCTGAGTGTTTTTCAGGGTATCATGAAAATCTCTCCTGAGGTGGGCATGGGTTGTGGGCAGGAGCTGCATTTCTTTACTCAAAAAGTGTTATTTTTAATTTTTTTTAATTGACATATAACACACATAAAGGACACAAATCTTAATGGTTTGCACAATGAATTTTTACATATGAATACAGCTGTGGGACCACCAGCCAGATCAAGGTGGAGGCCATTTCCTGCACCCTGGAAGGCTGGTTCTCCTGAGCTCCATTGTAATGAACAGTGAGGGCACAACCTCCTCCCTCTTGCCACAAGAGGGGTATGGGGAGTTAGCCTTGTGGATTCTGGAGTTGTAGCACAGTGAGTTTGATCCCAGCTCCACCTCTTGGGCTACCTCTGTGAACCTCAGTTTCCCCACCAGCAAAATAATGACAATTAAACATTTATATTTATTAGCTCATTTAATTTTCACAATGCTCCCACAAAGAAGGGGGCCTGTTATCATTCCAAACTTTTAAACAAGAAAACTGAGGCACAGGAGAGGTTAAGTAATCAGCCAAGGTCATACAGCCAGTAAGAGGTAGAGCTGGCCAGCCTGGGCAACACAGGGCTACCCCATCTCTACTAAAAAAAAAAAAAAAAAAAAAAAAAAAAAAAAAATTAGCCAGGAGTGATGGTGGGCACGTGTAGTTCCAGCTAGTTGGGAGGCTTAGGTGGGAGAATCACTTGACCCCAGGAGTTCAATGCTGCAATGGCACTCAAGGCTACTTCTGCCATCGCCAGCACCAGCTTCTCTCCAGAGGGTGCTGGACATCTTGCAGCCTCAAATGTGGCACATCCTATGTCAACCCTTTTCCACACCTGCCCTTTCTCCTGGGGCCTTCCTGAAGTCAAAAGCCATCAGATGCCCATGCTAGAAGCCAGTTGCACTCCAGCCTGGGTGAGAGAGAAGGACTCTGTCTCAAAAAAAAGGGGGAAGAGTAGAGCTGGGATTTGAACTGAGAGCCTATTGCTCCTATGAGTTATAATAATAAGCATCTCATGGGAGGACCTTGGACCACAAATGGAAGTGTATTGTGACAAGGATGAGAATTATTATTCTTGGTACCATTGTGGCTACAGCAATATTGATGTATCCTAATTATCTCTCCAGCTATTATTTATCCTAAAAGGCTGGATAGAGGCCTGGACGCCCTTGGACCAATGGCCTTCTGGGACTCTGGCTGCCTGTATTCCAAGAGAAAGGTGTTTTTTTTTGCTCCAAAAGACAGCTGACATTTAACCTTTCCCCTGAAGTTCCAGACACTGGGCTAGGCACCTGTATTAGTCCATTCTTGTACTACTCTACTACTCTAAAGAATACCTGAGACTGGGTAATTTATAAAGGAAAGAAGTTTAATTGACTCACAGTTCCACATGGCTGGGGACACCTCAGGAAACTTACAATCATGGCAGAAGAGGAAGTAGGCACATTTTACATGGTAGCAGGTGAGAGAGAGCGAGAAAGAGCAGGGGAAACTGCCTTATAAAACCATCAGAGCTCATGAGCACTCACTGACTATCATGAGAACAGCATGGGGGAAACTGCCCCCATGATTCAATCACCTCCCACCAGGTCCCTCACTCAACATGTGGGGATTATGGGGATTACAATACGAGACGAGATTCGAGTGGGGACACAGAGCCAGCCATGTCAGCACCTTATGCGTACTTTATCCACAGCATCTTCCCAACAACCTGGAGATGGTATCACCTCCAGGCTGTGGTGAAGCAAGTGGTGAAGGGAGTGAATCTCAGGGAGGTGAAAATGCCCAGTCTCTCCAGGGCCCTTGCAAGACGTGCCAAAACTTCATGCTGTATGGAGCTGCTTTTCTGTCTCATGCATCCTGCCCTTGCAGGGGCGCTCCTGGCTGTCCAGGGTCCTGACCATTCCTTGTCTCCAGGCTGGTTCCAGATGGGATGAGTTGTTAGGACTGACGGATTCTTCTGGGAAGCATTTGTAAGATTTGGGATCTGGCCAGAGGGGGAGATGTCCACCTTATCTTATGGTTTGCTCAGGTCACAGTGGCTGTCACCAGTTCCCCCAATGCCATCCTGGGCAAGTACCAACTAAACGTGAAAACTGGAAACCACATCCTTAAGTCTGAAGAAAACATCCTATACCTTCTCTTCAACCCATGGTGTAAAGGTACTGTGAATCTCAGGTCTGCTGGGGAATGGCAGGTGACCCCGGCAAAACCTGCTATGTGCAATGCATAGTCTATGAGCTTTTGTTTGCTCTCAAGGTACTTGCAAACTAGTTTAAGGGATGTGACCCAGGAACAGATCACAGACACCAATGGAGCGTTTTCTTTGTGACCAGGCCCCTTAGAATGGAGGTCCTTATTCCCTGTTTCCACTTCTCCCCAGTGCCTCGCCCTGCCCCAGCTGGCTTCTGCCTCCACCACTGTACAGAGGCTGCCTTCGTGGGGGTGGGGAGGGGCCACCAAGGACTTCTTCCTTGCCAGCTCCAGGTCAGGGCCTGAATTGTGGTTGGTTCCTCCCTTCTGCTCCCTTAGTTCTGTTCTCTTCTCTCCACTTCCTCATGTACCCACCTCATTTCTTCCTGTGGCTACACTGGAGCCTTTATGTAAATGGTGCTTGAGGCTACTTCTGCCATTACCAGCACTGGCTTCTCTCCAGAGGGTGCTGGACATCTTCTTGCAGCCTCAAATGCGGCACATTCTATGTCAACCCTTTCCACACCTGCCCTCTCTCCTGGGGCCTTCTTGAAGTCAAAAGCCATCAGGTACCCATGCTAGAAGCCAAGGAGCTCTTTTTTTTTAACTTGTATTTGGAAATGATTTTGAGCTCACAGAAAAGTGGCAAAAATGATGTAATGAACAACCTATACCCTTTATCATCCAGGCTCACCTGTTGTTAACATTTTGCTCCATTTGCTTAATCATTTTCCCTCCCTCCCTCCTCTACACACACACACACACACACACACACACAAGCTTTTTATTTTTGAACCATTTGAGAGTAAGTTACATATAAGTTGGTTCTTTACAACCCCTAAACCCTTCAATGTGTATTCCCTAAGAACAGGGATATTCTCTCATATAACCACAGTACAGTTATCAACTTCAGTAAATTAAGTGTTAGCAGCCAGGCGTGGTGGCTCACGCCTGTAATCACAGCACTTTGGGAGGCCGAGGTGGGCGCATCACGAGGTTGGGAGATCGAGACCATCCTGGCTAACACGGTGAAACCCCATCTCTACTAAAAATACAAAAAAATTAGCCGGGCATGGTGGCGGGCGCCTATATTCTCAGCTACTAGGGAGGCTGAGACAGGAGAATGGCGTGAACCCGGGAGGCAGAACTTGCAGTGAGCCGAGATTGCACCACTGCACTCCAGCTCTGTCTCAAAAAAGGAAAAAAAAAAATAGGCCAGGCGCGGTGGCTCATGCCTGTAATCCCAGCACTTTGGGAGGCCAAGGCAGGCGGAACACAGGGTCAGGAGATCAAGACCATCCTGGATAACATGGTGAAACCCTGTTTCTACTAAAAATACAAAAAATTAGCTGGGCCTGGTGGCATGCACCTGTAATCCCAGCTACTTGGGAGGCTGAGGCAGGAGAATCGCTTGAACCTGGGAGGTGGAGGTTGTAGTGAGCTGAGATCACGCCACTGCACTCCAGCCTGGGTGACAGAGCGAGACTCTGTCTCAAAAATAAATAAATAAATAAATAAAAATAAATAATTAAAAAAATAAGTGTTAGCATAACACTTTCATCTACTATCTATATTCCAGTTTGGTCACTTTTTTTTTAATTTTTTTTTTTTTTTTTGAGACGGAGTTTCACTCTTGTCGCCCAGGCTGGAGTGCAATGGCGCAATGGTGCGATCTTGGCTCGCTGCAGCCTCTGCCTCCTGGGTTCAAGCAATTCTTCTGCCTCAGCCTCCCAAGTAGCTGGGATTACAGGCACATGCCACCACACCCAGCTAATTTTTGTATTTTTAGTAGAGACAGGGTTTCGCCATGTTGGTCAGGCTGGTCTCGAACTCCTGACCTCAGGTGATCTACCTGGCTTGGCCTCCCAAAGTGCTGGGATTATAGGCATGAGGCACCGCACCCAGCCGGTCACTTGATTTTATCATGTACTTTATAGCATTGTTTTCCCTCCAGTACAGGATCCAATCTAGAGTCACATTTTGCATGTAGTTATGTTTACCTCCTTTAATCTGGAACAATTTCTTTATCTTTCTTTGTCTTTTTTGACATATTTTTGAGGACTAGAAGTCCCCTTTTTTAACAGATCATTCATCATTTGGGTCTGTCTGATGATTCATCATCTTTAGATTCAGGTTACGCAGTCCTTGCTGGATATTATGTAAACGACATGTCCTTCTTGGAAAATCATATCTGGAGGCACTGCCTGCCCCTCATTGGGAATGTTAAATGTGATCATTTGGTCAAGGTGTTGTCCAGTTTTTCTGCTATATAATTACTATCTTTTTCTTTTTAACGAGTAGTCTATGTGGACACATTTTAAGACCATCCAAACATCCTGATCCTTATTAAAATTCTCCACCCCTAGATTTAGCATCCACTGATGGTTCTTGCTTCAACCATTCTTCACTGTGATGGTTGCACAGTGATTTTCCAAGGCCAGCTCTCCACCATGTTTACCTGCTAGCCCCTGGCATTTCCTGTAGGCAGAGTCCTCCCTTCACTCCCATCTACCTCTCTCTTCCATCTGTATGGACTCATGGACTCTCTCTTTCTTTTCAGTGGTTTATGATTCATCCTTTTCTTAACTCATGCTTAAATTGCTCCAGATTTTCCCAGGGGAAGTCCCCTACAGCTGGCTCGGGAAGTTCTTTTGGATACTTTCCCTCCCGCTTACCTCCCTCCCCCAACATTGGGTGTTCCAAGCCCCTCACAAAGACCTTGAATCTCCCCCAGCACAGACAGTCCCCATTGGCAAGCCTGCTCCTGTCCCAGGGCAGAATATAACCTCTGTGGATGTGTGGTCTTGCTTCAGAGGACATGGTTTTCATGCCTGATGAGGACGAGCGCAAAGAGTACATCCTCAATGACACGGGCTGCCATTACGTGGGGGCTGCCAGAAGTATCAAATGCAAACCCTGGAACTTTGGTCAGGTAATGATTTGTCGTCTTGTGGCTGCACCAGGCCCCATCTGCTAGACCACCCTTTTAGCTGGGTAGTAGTCAGTAAAGGTTCTGGAGAAAGGGTTGTGAACCTCGGGTCAAACGCCAGCCTCATACATGTAAAACTTGGCCATAGAGGGGTGACCTGCCTAGGCTGCACAGATGGGGTGGAGTCCTGGGCAGAAGCCCTTCCACAAAGGTCACCCATGGCCTTTCCCATCCACCCCACGGCTCTCTCCCACCCCCCACAGCTCTCTCCTACCCCCCATGGCTCTCTCCCACCCCCCTCGGCTCTCTCCCACCCCCCACGGCTCTCTCCCACCCCCCTTGACTCTCTCCCCACCATGGCTCTCTTCCACCCCCCTTGGCCCTCTCCCACCTCCCATGGCTCTCTTCCACCCCCCACGGCTCTCTCCCAACCCCAACAGCTCTCTCCCCCACCCACCCCCACCACGGCTCTCTCCCATCCCCCATGGCTCTCTCCCACCCCCCATGGCTCTCTCCCACCCCCCATGGCTCTCTCCCACCCCCCATGGCTCTCTTCCACCCCCCATGGCTCTCTCCCAACCCCAACGGCTCTCTCCCCCACCCACCCCCGCCACAGCTCTCTCCCACCCCCCATGGCTATCTCCCATACCCCCCACCCCGCCACGGCTCTCTCCCACCCCCATGGCTCTCTCTCATGCCAAACAGCTCTCTCCCACCCCCTACCTCCCAGTGTATTTACCAAAGAACCAAGCACTGTTACAAGGAAGCACTGTTACAAGGAAGCACTGTTACAATTAGAATGTTGGCCTTGACAAAGAGCTCTAAAGAAGAGGGAGAGTTTTTTAGAGACTTGTGTGGAGGCCTCTGCTGAGTGGAGGGCCAATGCCTTCGTGCAGCCATGAGGCAGAGAAGCTGGGGTGTGAGGATGCCAGACACCAGATGCTTCCCACCTCCCCTCCCCCAAGATTTGACAACAAAAAACTCCTGGGAAATGCCAGGCATTTCACAGCTGCTTGAGTTTCTCCTCCTCCCCCTGGGTCTGGACGCCTAGGACAGGATGGAAGTAGGGACAAGGGAGGAAGGACTCCCAGCTGGCGAGGCTCCCACTGTGTGCTCTGTGCAAGGTGCGCCGAGTGCCCTCTCCACCCTCACTCATTCCTAGAAGGCCCTCAGCATCCTCTCCTCACACATGAGGACCAGAGGGAAATGAAATGGAAGGGAGTAGCTGGCAAGGAGACAGCCAAACGAACCGCAGGAGGGGTAGGGAAGAAGGAATCACCTGAATCCTAGGGAGTTTCCCCTCTTAGAAAATCAAGGGGTGGGCCGGGCACGGTGGCTCACACCTGTAATCCCAGCACTTTGGGAGGCCGAAGCAGGCAGATCATGAGGCCCGGAGATCGAGATCATCCTGGCTAACACAGTGAAACCCCGTCTCTACTAAAAATACAAAACATTAGCCAGGCGTGGTGGCACGTGCCTGTAATCCCAGCTACTTGGGAGGCTGAGGCAGGAGAATCACTTGAACCCGGGAGACGGAGGTTGCAGTGAGCCGAGATGGCGCCACTGTACTCCAGCCTGAGCGACAGAGTGAGACTCCATCTTGAAAAAGAAAAAAAGAAAATCAAGCGGTGATTTTAAGAAGCCCAAAGAGTGACTGGGTATGGAGGCTCACACCTGTAATCTCAGCACTTTGGGAGGCCAAGGTGGGAGGATGGCTTGAGGCCAGGAGTTCAAGGCCAGCCTGGGCAACATAGGGAGACCTGGTCTCTATAAAAAATAAACAAATTAGCTGGGCATGGTGATGCATGCCTATAGTCCCAGGCAGAGCTGTGGGGAGGGGGGACTGCAGTTGGAGAGGGAGGTGGGTGGATCACTTGAGTCCAGAAGGCTAAGGCTTCAGTGAGCAGTGATTGTGCCACTGTACTGTACCCTCTCTCAAAAAAATAAAAAATAAAATAAAAATAAAAAGAATCTCAAAGAATTGTAACCACAAAACTCCCCCAGACTCCTTCTGGAACATAAACATTGTGGTCTATTCCTTTTATTTTGGTAGTTTTTCCCTCAGGTTACAAAAGTAACACATGTACTTCAACTCTGTAAATATACAGATATTTATGGATAATTACAGATTGAATCATCCAGTTTAGATGGTAAATTTTATGAGATATAAATGATATCTTGATAAAGTGGCTTACAGTAAATAGAATTTCAAAAGTAACGTGCTTATCACAAAAGACTTAGGAAACACAGAAATGTGGAAAGAAAATAAAATTATTCATAACCTCCTCCCTCAGTGATAATGACTTAACATTTTAGTGTATTTTATTCTATTATCTATTACTAAGGCTTACATAGTTGTAATGCTATTTGTTCACAATTTTGTAGCCTGTTTCATTTATTCATTTATTTATTTATTTTTATTATTATTATTTTTTTGAGACAGAGTTTTGCTCTTGTTGCCCAGGCTGGAGTGCAATGGCACGATCTTGGCTCACTGCAACCTCCGCCTCCTGAGTTCAAGCGATTCTCCTGACTCAGCTTCCCGAGTAGCTGGGATTACAGGCATGCACCACCACGCCCGGCTAATTTTGTATTTTTAGTAGAGACAGGGTTTCTCCATGTTGGTCAGGCTGGTCTTGAGCATCCGACCTCAGGTGATCCACCTGCCTCGGCCTCCCAAAGTGTTGGGATTACAGGCGTGAGCCACCGCACCCGGCCTGTTTCATTTATTTGACTTGATTACAAAGGAATTTTCCCCATGGTATTAAAAACTTCTTATACTTCCTTTTAGTGGCTGCATGCTAGAGCTCTATAAACTTACTTAACTACTGTCCTGTGGCAGGACATTTAAATGGTTTCTAATTTTCAGTGCTGTGGTGGACTTTTTTATGAGACTGTAGGCAGGGGAGATGGGTTACGCTACAGGGTGGCTGTGACATGCAAATTAGATGGTATGTGTTAAGTTTCTGACACAGGGCAAAGTCTTAACTGCCTCTTTCTTCATTTCCCAAAATAGTTTGAGAAAAATGTCCTGGACTGCTGCATTTCCCTGCTGACTGAGAGCTCCCTCAAGCCCACAGATAGGAGGGACCCCGTGCTGGTGTGCAGGGCCATGTGTGCTATGGTAGGTATGGAAAGCCTGGGCTGATGCTGTCTTGTACTTGCCAATTGCTCAGCCTTTTTCTGTTTTTCCTCATCTAAACTGTAAGCTCTTTGAAGTACACCACTGTGCTATGGCCAATCAATTGTTCAAAACTATTAAGAAATAGACATTGCTGAAATCTGTTCTGAGCGCAGGTTTTCTTTTCTTTTTTTTTTTTTTTTTTTTTGAGACAGAGTCTCATTCTGTCACCCTGGCTGGAGTGCAGTGGCACGATCTTGGCTCACTGCAACCTCCACCCATCCAGGTTTTAAGCAATTCTCTGCCTCAGCCTCCGGAGTAGCTGGGATTACAGGCACATGCCACCACGCCCGGCTAATTTTTTGTATTTTTAGTAGAGACGGGGTTTCACCATCTTGGCCAGGCTGGTCTTGAACTCCTGACCTCGTGATCCACCCGCCTCGGACTCCCAAAGTGCTGGGATTACAGGCGTGGGCCACCGCGCCCGGCTTTCAAGTCAGACCTGAGTCTGAACTCCAGCCCTGCCACTTATGGGCTGACGTTAGGTGTAAATGGCTTCAACTGTCTGAGCCTCAGTTTCCCCCATCTGCAAAATGATATTAATACAGAAGGTCCTCTTTCTACCTGCAAGCTGGGCTCCAGTTGGGTGAGCAAACTGTTGCAGTTCACTTGGGACTTTTCTGGTTTTAGCACTAAGAATACTGTGTTCCAGGAAACCCCTCAGTCTTGGGCAAACAGGATGGTTGGTCACTCTATTCTGCCTGGCCACTTGGAAGTCAGTTTGTTCAGAGTGGCAGTTCTCAAATATTTTGGTTTCAAGACCTCTTTGCACTTTTAAAAATTATTAAGGACCCCAAATAAGTTGTATTTATATGGTTTATATTTACCAATATTTACTGTATTAGAAATTAAAACTGAAAAGGTTAAAACTATTTATTCTAAAAGAATAATTCCATTACATGTTAACATAAATAACGTATTTTTATTTTTAAAAACCTATGTTTTTCGAAGCATAAAATATGTAGTGAGAAGAGTGGCATTGTTTTCCATTTTTGCAAATCTCTTTAATGTCTGGCTTGCTAGAAGTCAGCTGGAATTTCATATCTGCTTCTGCATTCATTGTTTTAGTTGGAATATATGAACATCTGGCCTCACACGGATACGTAGATTTAAAAAGGCAGAGGACGGCCGGGCGTGGTGGCTCAGGCCTGTAATCCCAGCACTTTGGGAGGCCGAGGCAGGCAGATCACGAGGTCAGGAGATCGAGACCATCCTGGCTAACATGGTGAAACCCCATCTCTACTAAAAATACAAAAAATTAGCTGGGTGTGGTGGCACACACCTGTAGTCCCAGCTACTGGGGAGGCTGAGGCAGGAGAATCACTTGAACCCGAGAGGCAGAGGTTGCAGTGAGCCAAGATCGCACCACTGTACTCCAGCCTGGGTGACAGAGCGAGACTCTGTCTCAAAAAAAAAAAAAAAAAAGAAGCGGGGCGGGGGCAGGAATATTCCCATAGCCTTTTCAGATAATGGAAGATACTATACTGAAGCTCTGTAAGTGGCAGTTTCTTAAAGTTGGTTGCAATGTGGAATCTGAAACCACGATTTTTCATCCTTTGTACACTTATGAGAGAATGAGAGTGAAGAAGGCAAATATTACCTTGGGATTATTATGCAAGTAGTTTTGATCACAGAACTTGGAACTCCCAGGGATCTCCCAATGCCAGTGAGGACCACTCTCCAAAGGTCCACTGAGTTCAGCCAACTGGCTGCTCTTGCCATCTGTGGGTGGCAGGCAGACGTATGTTCATCTCCAGGTGAGTCTGTGAGCTGAACTGCTGCGACAGACGGATCTTAAGTAGGGGCTCTTGAAATGCCCTCCTTGCAGAGTGGCTGTGAGCCTGTGTCTGTTGCACGTGGTATGCCTCATAAATGCTGGGGCTCCTGTTCC
Organism: Homo sapiens; assembly: GCF_000001405.40. Lineage (NCBI taxonomy): Eukaryota > Metazoa > Chordata > Mammalia > Primates > Hominidae > Homo > Homo sapiens. Next base: position 424,115 of record NW_009646197.1, read on the forward strand.
CCTGCACCTTAGGGGCTGATGGGATTACCGGGGGCCCTCACGCTGACTCTCTGGGGCCCAGGAGTCCACCATGCCTGCTCTTTCCCCTTCACCCCCATGCTGGTATGTTCATTCTCTAGCCCAGGGGCCAGCAGGTGGCCAGGCTGGATGCTGAGAAAGAACAAGTAAAGGAGACCAAGTCATTAGCAGGCAGAACTTGCCATGAGGGGCTCTAGTTCTCAGTGGTGCAGGTGGACTGGCACGTACCTGGCTGCTTCTCCTTTCAAGCTCCATGACTCTGGACAAGATTCTAAACCTCTTTGGGCCTCTGTTATCTCATCTTTTGGGTGATTATGAGGTCTCAATAACACACAACAAGTGCCCAGCCCAGGGTCTGACACGCTTTGGGCCCACGAGTAGCCTATTCCCAGGTCATTCTTATGCGTGGTGGGGTTTGGGAAGCAATGGGCTAAGCCGCTGCTTGTTTCAGTGATGAGGAAACCAGCCGGGGGAGAAGGGGCAGTTCGCCAAAGGCTGCACAGTGAAGTGGTGGTTGAGCCAGCTGTGCTGACTCCTGGTGCAGTGCTCCTTCCTAGTGCCCTGCCAGCCACCTCCTCAGGCTGTGAGGCAAGCATGGGCAATTCAGAACTCCAAGGTGTTCCAGGAGTCACTTCCAAAATTAGGTTACTGCAGATTAGCTTCCACGCTCGGGAGTCTGAGAACCCCAGCCCACTTCAGAGGCCCTCCCCTTTTCCAGGTTCCCTATAAAGGTTGCCCCTTCACCCTTAGAAATTCGTGGCTATCCATGGGCCTCCTGGATCTGTGAATTTCTGACTAGCAGGCAGAGCTTCTGGCAGGGTCGCCTAAAGACGACTCCCACACCAGGCAGGGAACCTCGGCGCAGCAGTGAGTGCGTTCATTATCCATTGCTAAGTAATAAGTTACCCCAAGACACTGTGGCTGAAACAACAAACATCCATTATCTCCCATGTCTGTGGGTCAGGAATCCAGGTGTGGTTTAGCTGAATGTTCTGGCTGAAGATCTCTGGGGGAGGACCTACTTCCAGGCTCACTCACCTAGCTGCGAGCAGCCTCAGGTCAGGGCAGCTCATAGCATGGCAGCCAGCTTCCATCAGAGTGAGCAAATAAGAGAGGGGGTGCCCAGGCTGGAAGCCACAGCCTTTGTCACCTCATTTCAGAAGTGACAGCCATCACTTTTGCTGCATTCTGTTGGTTAGAAGTGAGTCACTGGGTCTAGGAGAGGGGATTACTGGGGACCATCTCGGTGACTGCCTACCATGCCTGGGCACAGAAATGTGCTTTGTTCCGCAGGGGGATAGAGCCTCGTGCATCAGGAGTTTTGAAAGTCCTGATGTCCTTTGGGCTCAGCGTCACTCCCCTTCTTTCCCTATCTCCGCCCTCCCCTACATTGCTCTATAGACGGCTTGTGTCTAGCAGGCGCTGACAGGCTGGGGCCGCTTAATTTCGCAGGAGGACGCAGCAGCCGGACCAGGGCAGTGGCTGGGTGACAGTTAAGATGGGAGGTATTTCCTGCTTTGCCTAGGACCCTTTGCCTGTCTCTCTTTCATCTGTTTTCATTCCGTCTGACCACTCTTGAGTCTGGCGGTGGCCTCTGCTCTCTCTCTGATTTTGATGAATGAAGAGGCTTGTCCAGCCACAGGACCTGAGAGGTCACGGGAGGCCCAGGCCACACCATTGTTTGAGACTTCTTGTAAATTAAAACTGAACAAACTCCCAAACAGGATTCAGAAATTGTAGCATACTATAAGGGTTTTAGTTAAACAAACGGACATCTTTAACATCCTGGGAAACATGAGGCACTGTAACTGTGCTTTTCACAAGGCATGATGAGGTTTGCAAAGGACGTTAGTGTGCAGGCCAGGAGGGGATGGGTGGATGTGGTCAAAGCCAGGCCACCACCAGATCAAAGATTTGTGACTGTGTCACCTTTCATGTTTTCGGAGGGTTCCTCTGCACCTGCCTGTACAACCTTCTTTAGAGATTCCATTAAGTGCTTTCAAAGGTGAACTCACAAGGCTTTGTCCTCTCTCTGGTTTTAATAAGGTGGAAAGGATCGTCTGGCCAGGGCTCCTCAGGGGTTAAGAGAGGTGCAGGCCACTGACAATTTAAAAACGGAAGATGCCAAAACAGGCATAGGCTTAACCCAGGTCATCCTCAAAACAACCTAAAGGGACCGGGCATAGTGATTCACACCTGTAATCCCAGCACTTTGGGAGGTTGAGACAGTTGGATTACTTGAGCTCAGGAGTTTGAAACCAACCTGGCCAACATGGTGAAACCCTGCCTCTACAAAAAACTACAAAAATTAACCAAGTGTGGTGGCGTGCGCCTGTAGTCCCAATTACCTGGGTGGCTGAGGTGGGAGGATCACCTGAGCCCAGGAAGTTGAGGCTGCAGTGAGCCGAGCTCACACCACTGTACTCCAGCCTGGGCTACAGAGCAAGATCCTCTCTCAAAAAACAAACAAAACCAACCTAAAGGTAGGTGTTGTAATGATCATCATTTTACAAGGGAGGAAACTGAGGCATACAGCAGTGAGCATCCTCCCCGGTCACTCAAACAGCTGGCATGCTCCTTGGCCCTTCTGGGCACCCCACCTGTTCTGGAAAGCCCACGTCCTCCAAGTACTCTGAGACATTATGAGGTGTCCACTTTGGGGGCTGGGTGGCCAAGCTGGGCTGGCAGCACCTTGTTCTTCTGAGGGGCGGACACTGACCCCACCCCTACGTGTGTGGCAGATGAGCTTTGAGAAAGGCCAGGGCGTGCTCATTGGGAATTGGACTGGGGACTACGAAGGTGGCACAGCCCCATACAAGTGGACAGGCAGTGCCCCGATCCTGCAGCAGTACTACAACACGAAGCAGGCTGTGTGCTTTGGCCAGTGCTGGGTGTTTGCTGGGATCCTGACTACAGGTAAGTGGCAGATCCAGGGGCTGAGGGGAGAGGTCCCAAGGGAGGGACTCCCAGCCCCCACAGTTGCCAACCACCCCACCCTGGATCATTTCAGTGCTGAGAGCGTTGGGCATCCCAGCACGCAGTGTGACAGGCTTCGATTCAGCTCACGACACAGAAAGGAACCTCACGGTGGACACCTATGTGAATGAGAATGGCGAGAAAATCACCAGTATGACCCACGACTCTGTCTGGTAGGGTTCCTCCTTCTCAACCTGCCCTGTCTCCTTCTCCCAGGAATTTTCTTTTTTCTTTTTAGAAACAGGGTCTCTCGCTAGTTTGCCCAGGCTGGTCTTGAACTGGTGTCAAGCAGTCCTCCTGCCTTAGCCTCCCAGGTAGCTGTGATTCCAGGTGCAAGCCACCATGCGTGGCATCCCAGGAGTTTTTTAGCCCAAGCCCAGTCTCCAGGCCCTCCCAACCCAGAGATTCTGCTGAGCTGTGGGGCCCCTTCAGCCTCCCTCAGAGACTGATTCAAGTTGTAGGCCAGTGCTCACTGTTCCTGAAATTCAATATTTTTCAACATTTGGCCTTGGACAATCTGTGCTGGAATCACCTGGGGGTGATTGTTAAAAAATGCAGATTCTTGGCCAGGCATGGTGGCACATGCCTGTAATCCCAGCACTTTGGGAGGCTGAGGTGGGTGGATCACGAGGTCAGGAGATTGTGACCATCCTGGCCATGGTGAAACCCCATCTCTACTAAAAATACAAAAATTAGCTGGGCATAGTGGCACGTGCCTGTAATCCCAGCTACTTGGTAGGCTGAGGCAGGAGAATCACTTGAACCCGGGAGGCAGAGGTTGCAGTGAGCCGAGATCGCACCACTGCACTCCAGCCTGGTGACAGAGCTAGACTCCCTCTCAAAAAACAAAAACAAAAACAAAAAACAAACAAAAAAAATGCAGATTCCTGTACTGGAGCTTTTGCCTCTACAGGGGAAGGGCCAGGAGTCTGAAGTTCATGTTAGCACTTGGCCCAGGAGATCTGATATATACCACTGTTTGAGAACTTTTGATGTAACTAGTACCCACTGGCCAGCATGAAGCTTATTTCCTTTGTTCTCTGATCCAGAGCACATGGGCCCCTTGCAAGCTAAAATTGACCACAAGATAGAAAAGGGAGAATGAGAAGTTGCAGAGGGAGTAGACGAGGTGGGAAGGTCAGGGCATGATTACAAATTCCCGAGGCATTTCAGTTGAAGTTGGAGCCTTACAGCTTTTATTTAAATACTGCTGAGACGTTCTAGTTCACGTACCAAGATGAGAAAAAACAGAAAGACTTGAAACTTTTGGAAAGGAGGCACTAACCAGTATTATTTGTAGATGATATACAGTTGACCCTTGAACAGCATCGGTTTGAACTGTGCAGGTCCACTCATAGGCAGATTTTTTCAACTGAGTACAGGTGTATTTGTGGGAGGTGAAACCTGCCTATACTGAGATCTGGCTTTTCCTATATACACATTCCACAGGGCCAACTGTAGGACTTGAGTGTGTATGGATTTGGGTATACTCAGGGGTCCTGGAACCAATACCCTGTGGATACCGAGGAATGACTGTTAATTGTCTACCTAGAAAACCAAGAGCACCAACTTAAAAATAGCAAGATTTAATATGAGAATTCAGAGACTGGCCAGTTACAAAGTTGCTGATCAACCAAATCAGAATCCCAGTGAATTGAATACATTCATTGAATGAATGAAATAACAGTTGTAATCTTTTACTAGGCTGTGACTGCACAGCCTAGTGCATTTCACCCATTCATCCAGGAAAAATTTATTAGGTGTCTGTTATGCTTCAAACACTGCAGATGTCAAGACAGATAAGATTTAGTTCTGCTTCGAGTTCACCATCTCTAGTGGTGAAGACTCCCAGGCTCTTTGAAATCCATAGGCAGGGTGACGGTCTCATGAGGTTCCCCCAGCCCTGCCCCCTGCACACAACTCTGTGCCCTGGGAGGCTTTCTGAGAGGCAGGTGGGACTCACCGGTGGCCCCTTCCTTGCCAGTGTTGACAAAGGTTCCCAAACCCCTGAGAACAACCTCAGTGGGTCCCCGGTGATGAAGATGTCTCTGGCAATTTTGGCGTATTTATCTCTAACTAGGTTTGGGGGTGGTCCGGGGTGGGGCCCGTTCCCAATTTGCGGCAGGAATTTCCATGTGTGGACGGATGCCTGGATGAAGCGACCGGATCTGCCCAAGGGCTACGACGGCTGGCAGGCTGTGGACGCAACGCCGCAGGAGCGAAGCCAGGGTGAGTGGGTGGCAGGAAGGCGCTGGGCATCCATGCTGCTCTCCTTACATGGCCCAGGGTTCTGTGGGTCTTGGGTATGCAGCCAAGCAGGTGGGGAAAGTTTTCATAAAAATTTCCCAAAACAAAAAGCATGCTCAGTCCTTCCTGCTATTCCCACTGAGCAGGGGCTTCAGTTTGCTGGCTATTTTTATGAAGATAATGCCAATGACAGTACTGTTAAGAGCAATGAGATGGTGGCACTTAAGGGTTCCCTACTGCATACCATGCGCAGTACCTACATGATCCATTTTACTCACAACTAACCTTTCAAAGTAGGTTGTCATTATCGTCATTTTACAAATGAGGAAACTGAGGCTCAGGGAGGTGAAGTGAGTTGCCTGAGGTCACACAGATCCACAAGGCTGGACCAGGATTCAGCCCAAGTCAGACATAATGGGGATGCTTATCTCAGCTGGTTATGGGTTACCAACTTCTGGGTAAGACAGTGGCCCCTTGTAGCTGGAAGGACCTTGCCGGGGGACAAGGGTGTCTTTGTACAGCTGGGGAAGCAGAGGCATGGGGTTGGTCTGAGGTTACTTGGAAAATCTGTGGAATCAAGTTATCTTTATTTTAAATAGTGAGTCCTAGTACTAAAGACAAAGTCAGCCCAGTAAAGGGAAAATAGATTAGCTCAATAATTCTCAAATTTTAAAAAATTATTTGTTTATTTATTTTGAGACAGAATCTCACTGTTGCCCAGGCTGGAGTGCAGTGGTGTAATCTCGGTTCACTGCAACCTCTGCCTCCCAGGTTCAAGCAATTTTCCTGTCTCAGTCTCCTGAGTAGCTGGGACTACAGGTGCACACCACCATGCCTGGCTAATTTTTACATTTTTAGTAGAGACAGGACTTTGCCATATTGGTCAGGCTGGTCTCAAACTCCTGACCTCACGTGCTCCACCTCCCTTGGCCTCCCAAAGTGTTGGGATTACAGGCATGAGCCACTGTGCCTGGCCTTTATTTATTTATTTATTTAGAGATGGAGTTTCACTCTTGTTACCCAGGCTGGAGTGCAATGGTGCAATCTTGGCTCACTGCAACCTCTGCCTCCCAGGTTAAAGTGATTCTCCTGCCTCAGCCTCCCGAGTAGCTGGGATTACAGGCGCCTGCCACCATGCCTGACTAATTTTTTGTATTTTTAGTAGAGACAGGGTTTCACCCTGCTGGCCAGGCTTGTCTCAACCACCTGACCTCAGGTGATCTGCTTGTCTCGGCCTCCCAAAGTGCCGGGATTACAGGTGTGAACCACCGCACCCAGCCTCAAACTTTTTTTTTTTTGAAAAAAGCAGTCCAACTGCTCAGAAGGAAACTTCGTGTGCCACCTCATAATGTAAAGCAGAACTACTCCAGCTGAAGTGTGCCCAGGGACCAGCCGGCCCCTCCCTGACATCTCTGCCTCACTCCTGCAGCCCCTGAAGTAGATGTCTCTCAAGGTTCTTCTAGGAATAAGTCTTAGTTTGGCTGTGAGCCTCATCCCAAGGATAGCAAATTCATCTGCCCACAGGGCCAGAGAGTGAACAGGGCTGTCTACTTGGGAAGATGGGGACCTAGAGACATGAGCATGCAGATCCCCAAAGGCATTCAGGTTACAATTTAAACATACTTTGCGGGCTCCACCCATCAGTGTGAGACTCCTGATTCCTCCAGCTGCAATGTGAGCCCACATGGCCCTGAAGGCAAAAAAATGCTGTTAAAAGTGAAAACAGCCTCCACATTTCTCCAAAGATAAGGCATTGCCCTTATAATAGGGGGTGAGGGTGGTGGGAGGTGGCCCCCAGAGGTGGGAGGAGCAGGTGATATGCCCACACCCCCGCATACTCTGCAGGAAGATTCTCAGCAGGGCAGTATTGAGGGCTCTTTCCATCCAGGGAGTCTAAGTAGCATTTGCTGAGGTGGGACAGTAGCCATAGCAACCAGGCAGTGAGTAGCGCAGTGCCACTATCTGCCTGAGAGGCAGAGGAAGCCCTGTTCCCTGGCCAGAAAAGGGGCCTTAAAAGCCCACCTAACCTGCTCACCTTATAGATAAGGCCAGAGAGGGAGGGTGGGGATGCCCAGGTTCAGTCAACAAGTTAGGAGAAGAACCAGTATTAGATTAGGAGACCAGTTCTCCTGAGTCCTAGTCCTCCAATACACTGAATTCACAGGTTTGGCTGCCTTAAAGAGGCAAGGGAGAGGAGCCTGTGTGTTGAGGATTAAATAAAAATAGTGGAAGCAGAAAGCCCAATGCCCAGAATACAAGGGTATGTAAAAACCAAAGCTACTACTGAGGAACTATCAGTCAAGAGACTAATTCTCATTAAGTTGTCAATGACTAATAAGGGAACTCTCTATCCCCATGCTAGAAATAAAAAGACAGCTCTTAACAAAAATGAAAAATAAATAAATAAATAAATAGACAGCTCTTAGAATGGAAATGTTCTTATTAGCCCAGATCCATAGCAACAGCTTGCATTTGTTTTAGGCACAGGGCTAAGTACTTTGCCTGGATTATTTAATTTAATCTTCGCAATAGCCTTAGAAGGTAAGTGCTGTTTTTATTCCCAGTTTTCTAGGAAATGGAGCCACAGAGAGCTGAAATGCCTTGCACAAGGTCACATAGCTCCAAGGTGTGATGCCAGGAATCAGACCCAGATTGTGTGTCTCTGTGCTCTACTGGGGACTGATGTGCTGGGATGAGTTTAATAGGCAGCATGACTTCCTATTACTGGGACAGAGGATTCCTGACACTCTTCAAGTCAAAGCTGAGATGTGCCCCTCTTTTCAGAATAGTTAAGGATGGCCTAGGAAATGAGTACCCAGATGCTTCTTGGGCAAAATTTGCTTGCCAGTCCTGTTTGAGTTTGGGAATCATTGCTGCCACTGGGTCCAGGCTGGGTGGGCTGGGGAACCCCACTGAGAGTGACCACCCCTGGCTTCCCCTCAGGTGTCTTCTGCTGTGGGCCATCACCACTGACCGCCATCCGCAAAGGTGACATCTTTATTGTCTATGACACCAGATTCGTCTTCTCAGAAGTGAATGGTGACAGGCTCATCTGGTTGGTGAAGATGGTGAATGGGCAGGAGGAGTTACACGTAATTTCAATGGAGACCACAAGCATCGGGAAAAACATCAGCACCAAGGCAGTGGGCCAAGACAGGCGGAGAGATATCACCTATGAGTACAAGTATCCAGAAGGTGCTAGCATCACAGGGCTCCTTCTGACTCAGCCCCTGAGTCACCCAGAACATGAAAATAGTCAAGATTGGGGGTGGGCCTGGGCAACATGGTGAAACCCCATCCCTACCAAAAAAAAAAAAAAAAAAAAAAATTAGCTGGGTGTGGTGGCATGTGCCTGTGGTCCCAGCTACTCAGGAGGCTAAGGTGGGAGGACTGCTTGAGCCAGGGAGGTTGAGGTTGCTGTGAGCTATGACCATGCCACTGCACTCCAGCCTGGGTGACAGAGCAAGACCCTGTCTCATACAAACAAAAAGACAAATCCTAATTGAGGCCTTTGCATTGTTTGACCAGCTCATTCACCTTGCTAAGACTGTCCGTTCTCCCCAGTGCCCAGTAAATTAGACATCTTCTCAGCCTGGCTTTCTGGCCCCTGCAGAGCTGGCCTCTGGCTCCCTTCCTGAGCTTAAGTTCATCCCCTAGCCATGCTGCCTGCTGTTACCTGAAAATGCTGGCTACTTTCACCCCTGGCCAAACCTCTGCTTATGCTTTCCCTAACTGAACTGTCTCCTTTGCAATCTCTACTATCCACAGGCTCATACGCTGCCTCTGTTCTTGATGTTCCTCAATCTGACAGATTTGTATTTCCCCTGTGGCCCATTGGCTGTGGTTCCTGTACCACGTGGTAAGGAAAGGAAGACAACTCCATATAGCATCCTCAAAGGGTGCAAGAGTCCAGACAGGGGCAAACTGAAGATGGGATGTGATTAAGAGGAAGGCAGGAAATCGTAAGGACTCATAGACGAGGGAGCAATTTGCTATGCTATGGGATGGCAGATGGTACCCATGCAGCTGGGGCTTTTCCCACCCTCCATTGCAGTATAGTTACAAGCAGGTCAGTTTGGACCCCTGGGTTGATTGTGAGCTTGTGTAAAACCTTGTACAAGGTAGGCCTGCAGTAAATATTTCTTCCATATAAATGAGGCAAGTGATTGATGGCTACCAAGGCAGCTCAGGACAAACTGGAGCTCTCCACTTTGAAGTCTCTTTGTGTTCAGAATGGACGTGGATGGAGAGCTTTGTAACCAAGCTCAGAAATTCCTGTCTTACAGCTGCTATCTCTGAAATAGAATCTTATCCTCAGGGTTGTGTTGAAAATGAGCAAACTTGATTAAAAGCAATTAGGTCAGGAGTGTTTTTTTTTGTTTTTGTTTTTTTTGTTTTTTGTTTTTTGTTTTTTTTGCAGGGTGACAGAAGTATCAGGGAGGGAGGGAAAGGATAGAGAGGGAGACCAGTGGTGTCTGTCAACTGCTACACTTGATGGTGTCCCTCAGGTCTCTGAGGCTCTGTTCACTCTTCCTCATTGTTTTTCCTTTCTGTCTCTCAGACTAGATAATCTTATGACCTGTCTTCAAGTTTGCTGATTTTCCTGCAAGCTCTAATCTGCTATTATTGTACTTTTCAACTCCAGAATTTATATTTGGTTCTTTTTTAAAAATAATTTTAATCTCTCTCGATATTCTCTATTTGGCAAGCCATTTGTTCTCACACTTTTTTTTTAGTTTTTTGAATATATTCAAAATAGCTAATTTAAAGTCTTTGTCTAGTAGGTTCAATGTCAGGGCTTCCTTAGGGACAGTTTTTATTGACTGTTTCCATGTTCCTACCCTGCCACCCCCACACCACCATGTATGGCCTATAGTTTGTTTGCATGTCTTGTAATTTTTTGTTAAAAATTGGACATTTTAAAGAACATAATATGGCAACTCTGGAAATCAGATCCTGTCCCCCATCCCAGGGTTGCTTTTGTGGTTGCTATTTGTTTAACAACTTCTCTGATATAATTCCAGAAATTCTATAATCTTTCTTGTCCATGACCACTGAATTCTCTGCTCAGTTTGCTGAATGGTCAGCTAATGATTAGATGGATATTGCTTTAAATTCCTTGAATCATTAAGACTCCTAGCCTTTGGCAAGGGGCTCTGTGTACAAGTTAGGGTACATTTCAATGCTCTGGCAGGCAATTTACAATTCTGCCTTCACTTCTTGCTTGAGCCTCAAGGTCAGTTAGAGGTGAGAGCCTTATCAGATCTTTCTCAGACCTTCTAGATTTCCAGGAATCTGTCTGAGCTTTTCAAAGCCCCCGTGGACATTTTGTCCCTCAGCTTTTCCTTTTAAGCTTTTTGGTCGGCTTCTTTTCCCCTCAACTCCCTTCTTTTCCTTATTGCCTTAGGAAACTGCAGTTGTAAACAATTGCTGCAGGTTGTTTGTCTTAACAAATGCTCCAGGGAAAAGGCTGTTGGTAATGAGGGAGCTCTGAGTCAGGTCAATGAAGACAAACTCTGTGAATGAGGGTTTCCAGGGAATCGCCCTTAGGTCAATTAACAACAATTCTCTGGTAGTGGAGCTTTTAGCGGAACTCCAAAACCATTCTGTCCCCTCCAGAGGTGGCTAGGCTGCTGGTTTTCACTGTGATTTGGTGCTGTGGTTTTTGAGTCTACTCTGGAGCTGGAAAGAAGGGGAGATGGGAATCAGAATGCCACAAAACTATTCTTACTGAGATTGTGCTGTTTTTCTTGAATAAATGCTCCTTAGATTATTATAAGCCTTTAGTTAATTTCAAGAATTCTGAAAAAGTTGATTTGATAATTTTTGCCAATGTTCTCATTGCTTTTATGGAGAAGCAGATTTTTGGAGGTCTTTATTCTGCCATTCCCACTGATGTCAGAATGTGCTATTGCTTAGGAATGGGGATTTGAATGATCCTCTGTGTGAATCTATAGCTCATGGGCTCCAGGGATGTCTCTGGAGTCCTGGCCAGGCAGATGGTCTCCTTCTGCCACACGGGTGGTTGGGACATTTGGTCCTTGAAGGAGCACCTGAAGGAAGCTGCCTTTGTGTCTCTTTCAGGCTCCTCTGAGGAGAGGCAGGTCATGGATCATGCCTTCCTCCTTCTCAGTTCTGAGAGGGAGCACAGACGACCTGTAAAAGAGAACTTTCTTCACATGTCGGTACAATCAGATGATGTGCTGCTGGGAAACTCTGTTAATTTCACCGTGATTCTTAAAAGGAAGACCGCTGCCCTACAGAATGTCAACATCTTGGGCTCCTTTGAACTACAGTTGTACACTGGCAAGAAGATGGCAAAACTGTGTGACCTCAATAAGACCTCGCAGATCCAAGGTCAAGGTACCAGAACCAGAGGGAGGAGAGGCCTCAAGTGGGCTCAGGGTCCCACAATCTGAAATCCCTCTTCTCCTCTGTGGACAACTTCCATACATTGATAAATTTTTGTGTGTGAGTTAACACAAACATTTATTGAGCACCTACCCCTTGGTAGTCACAAGAAAGCCAGCCACAGAAGAAAAGTGAGCCAAAGAGACCACTGGACTAGGAGCCTGGGTCTATCGTAGAGTTATAAATTAGGGGTGCTGAAAGTGTCATGAGAAGTCTTCTATGGTGGCAGAAATTTTAATCTCAGATGCCCAGTCAGATCAATGATTATGAGTACCCAAGGCACAGTGTTGGGAACAAGTGGGATGTCCTGATGACAACGGGTAATGTCTGTCATGGACTCAGGATGTAAGCTTGGAGAACTTGGCCAATTATTATTCCATCTTGAGCCCAACGTCTTGTTTTCTAAAGAGAGTATGGGACATGTCCAAAGTTATCCAGTTCAATTCACACAAAGTTAATCTAATTCTGTGCTTGATGAGGAGAACTCATACTGGGGGGGTATGATGAATGACCTCTCCCCTCCACCCTGACTCTTTGGCAGTATCAGAAGTGACTCTGACCTTGGACTCCAAGACCTACATCAACAGCCTGGCTATATTAGATGATGAGCCAGTTATCAGAGGTTTCATCATTGCGGAAATTGTGGAGTCTAAGGAAATCATGGCCTCTGAAGTATTCACGTCTTTCCAGTACCCTGAGTTCTCTATAGAGGTGAGCTTCCTGCAGGCCATAAAGGGCTCCTTCTGCCTGGAAGTTGGCCATGGAGTGTGACGGGGCCCCTAAGAACCCTGAGGGTCCTTGGTTGGCTCATGCATATCTTCTCTCCCCATCTCTCCTCCCCACCCTACTACAGTTGCCTAACACAGGCAGAATTGGCCAGCTACTTGTCTGCAATTGTATCTTCAAGAATACCCTGGCCATCCCTTTGACTGACGTCAAGTTCTCTTTGGAAAGCCTGGGCATCTCCTCACTACAGACCTCTGACCATGGGTGAGTCTGCCTGAGGTATTCTTAGAAATATGCTTCTGGACATATATCTTGCACATGTGTGCATATTCCTGAGAAGTGAATTCCCAGTATGGGGTCACAGGGTCAAAATGTAGATACATTTTGCTAGTGCCAAATTACTTTGAGAAAAGATTGCATCAATTTATGCTCTACCGACAGATCTTTTTGATTCTTGCCAATCTAGTGGTTAAGTAATCTCATTGCTTTACTTTGCATCTGATTATTTGTGAGGTTGAATATTTCTTACATTAATTGACTCTCTCCTGTGAATTGCCTGTTCCTAACTTTTGTCCATTTTTCTACTGAGTCATTTATTTTTTCATATTGGTATGGTGTCTTTACACAGTAGAGTGTTATGTGCTGTGAATTTTTTTATAGCAGTTTTGTATTCAATTTTTTAAATTTGATTCTTATTTATTTTGAGGTGGAGTCTCACTTTGTTGCCCAGGCTGGAGTGCAGTGACACGATCTTGGCTCACTGCAATCTCCATCCGTCCCCAGGTTCAAGTGATTCTCCTGCCTTGGCCTCCTGAGTAGCTGGGATTACAGGCATATGCCACCACACCCGGCTAATTTTTGTATTTTTAGTAGAAACGGGGTTTCCCCATATTGGCCAGCCTGGTCTTGAACTCCTGACCTCAGGTGATCTGCCCGCCTTGGCCTCCCAAAGTGCTGGGATTACAGGCATGGGCCATCATGCCCGGCCGAACAGTTTGTATTTTTTTAAACACTAAGATGTCTTTCACCAGTAGAACTTTTAAATTTTAATGTAGTCAAATTTTTCAATCTTTTCCTTTACGGATACTGAATTTCATGTCATCCTAGGTGCATAGAAATATTCTCTTATGCTTTTTCTAGAATTTCCAGCTTTATTTACACAATTAGGTATTTATCTGGAATTTTTTTTGGGTGTGGAGTGATGTGGAGCTCCAACTTTGTCTGTGGTTTTCCTAGTACTTTGTAGCACTGCCTTTATTATGCTGTCAATTCCCATATATATCTGGGTCTCTGGACTCTTTAATTTGCTATTTCATTTGTCTTCTTCTAATATAACATCATACCACTTAAATTATTGTAGTCCTATAATAATTTTATATGATTATCATATCTACATATTGATATGTATTAGGCAAATCCCCACCCCACCCCCATTTTTGTCTATAGCACTTTTAGAATCATCTTGTCATATAATTTTAAAACAGCTGGGATTTAGATTGATACTGCATTGAATTTACCTATTTATTTGGGGGAGAATTATGCCAAATGACAATATTGTGTCTTGCCATCTAGGAATATGAGATTTTCCCATTTTTTTCCAGTCTTTTTTATCACCTTTAGAAAAGCTATATTGTTTTCTTTATATACCACTTGCACGTTATTAGTTGGGTTAATTCCAAGATGCATCAATATTATAGCTTTTATGAATGGAATATTTTTCATTGTATTTTCTAATTGTTTGCTGGACTATATGGAAATTGATTTTTGGCATGCTGATATATCCAGCAAAAAACTTTACTGAACTCTAATGTTTTGTTTCTGAGAGGTTTCTGATGGTCTGTTTCTTACAGGATGTCTGAATCTTCCAAGTAAAAATGAGTAGACTCCTATTTTCCTTAGACCACGATTTATCACATTTTAATGTGCACACAAATTACCTGGGGAGTATTGTTACAGTGTAGATTCTGATTCAGCAGGTTTAGGGTGGAGCCTCAGATTCTGTGTTTCCTACAAGCTCAGCTAGTATTGCGAAGCCCCAGAACACACTTTGAGTAGTGAGGGGCTAGCCAATTCCTTGCATGTGGATTCAACATAAAATACATGTTCCTCTTAGATTTTATGTAATAGATGACTGTTGCTAATACTCATGAAACAAGAACATCTGTAGTAAAGTCAGGCAAGACTCCAGGGAAGATTTGTGAAATGTCAGAGTTGGAAGAGCTTCTGGAAACCAGCTGGTTCACCCGTCTTGCTTTACATCTGAGAAAACTGATAGCAGCACCCAGGGTGCAGGTACACTGTGCCATGCCCTGGAATGGCCAGGACTTTTCAAAGAGGCTGAGCTAAGGCTCAGTTTCCTGGCTTCTCACCCAACTCATCTTCTCCCTCTTCCCATAACATCCTTGGCTGATTGTATGTCCGTATGTCTTTGAATTTTCCAGGACGGTGCAGCCTGGTGAGACCATCCAATCCCAAATAAAATGCACCCCAATAAAAACTGGACCCAAGAAATTTATCGTCAAGTTAAGTTCCAAACAAGTGAAAGAGATTAATGCTCAGAAGATTGTTCTCATCACCAAGTAGCCTTGTCTGATGCTGTGGAGCCTTAGTTGAGATTTCAGCATTTCCTACCTTGTGCTTAGCTTTCAGATTATGGATGATTAAATTTGATGACTTATATGAGGGCAGATTCAAGAGCCAGCAGGTCAAAAAGGCCAACACAACCATAAGCAGCCAGACCCACAAGGCCAGGTCCTGTGCTATCACAGGGTCACCTCTTTTACAGTTAGAAACACCAGCCGAGGCCACAGAATCCCATCCCTTTCCTGAGTCATGGCCTCAAAAATCAGGGCCACCATTGTCTCAATTCAAATCCATAGATTTCGAAGCCACAGAGTCTCTCCCTGGAGCAGCAGACTATGGGCAGCCCAGTGCTGCCACCTGCTGACGACCCTTGAGAAGCTGCCATATCTTCAGGCCATGGGTTCACCAGCCCTGAAGGCACCTGTCAACTGGAGTGCTCTCTCAGCACTGGGATGGGCCTGATAGAAGTGCATTCTCCTCCTATTGCCTCCATTCTCCTCTCTCTATCCCTGAAATCCAGGAAGTCCCTCTCCTGGTGCTCCAAGCAGTTTGAAGCCCAATCTGCAAGGACATTTCTCAAGGGCCATGTGGTTTTGCAGACAACCCTGTCCTCAGGCCTGAACTCACCATAGAGACCCATGTCAGCAAACGGTGACCAGCAAATCCTCTTCCCTTATTCTAAAGCTGCCCCTTGGGAGACTCCAGGGAGAAGGCATTGCTTCCTCCCTGGTGTGAACTCTTTCTTTGGTATTCCATCCACTATCCTGGCAACTCAAGGCTGCTTCTGTTAACTGAAGCCTGCTCCTTCTTGTTCTGCCCTCCAGAGATTTGCTCAAATGATCAATAAGCTTTAAATTAAACTCTACTTCAAGAAAACTCTGTGGTCCCTGAGTCCTTTTTTCTTTATGCCAATAAGCTTCTTAAATGTGCTGGCGGTTTATGCAGTCACTTGGGGAGCCATGGAATCCTTTGATCTCCCCAGGCAAGGTGCTCTGAGGAGTTGGCTTCTTTATTGTCTGTTCAGTACATCCAACCCCTCTCTCAAAGGCTGTCACCCCAACTGGATACACACCCTGGCAAAGGCACGTAGCTTGAATGAGGGTTATTTTGTGTCTAATTCACAGGAGAGTCATGGGTGGGATACCTGTCATCCTCTGCCTTTCCAGCTGTCCAAGTGAAAAAAACCTCAATCCTGGTCACCCTTGCCCAAGTTGCCCACATCCCTGGCATACAGTAGGTGTTCAATAAATGTTTATTGAAGGAAAGGTGACTGTTCCTTCTGCTGGAAATACCACAAGGGTGGTGACACAAACAAGAGTTTGGTCAGTCACTCCACAGCACAGTGTCCGATCCCAAGAGGTGATATAGCCCGGCACGGCCACTGTGTGGTGCCGTATGACACTCACTTGTCTCCCACACTGGGAATGGAAGAAAAGTAGCTTTCCTAGAGGTGCCTTTAGGGTGGCCCATAAGGAAGGACACTGCCCAAGGGTTTGAGCTGGGATCTCTTAATTAAAACAGGAGACTCCAGTCACTGAGGGTGAGCAAAGAGCTTTTTATTCAAAGAAAGAGGCAAATTGCACCCAATCTCTCTCCCTGTAAGATCTCATCTGGTTTTGACATCAGTTGCAATGCTTTCAGTCTGAGGCTAAGCAGAATGTTATGCTGTGAATGGTCACCACAGAGAGACCACTGTGTTGCTGGTGTGGGGAGGCGAGGCTCAGGGTTGGACAGGTTAATTACCTACATAACCCTGGCTGTGGCCCAGCCCAGCACCTCCCAGAACAGGGACTGACATGGCTGAGGTCTACCTTGGAGATGGGGTCAGTGAAGAGGGGAGGCAGGGTCAGCCTCTGTGCAAGTAAAATGCCCCCTCACCCCAGCCTTCCTTTCCAGAGCAACCAATCTGAAAACAGAATTGCCTTTGGGGCTGGTGTTGTACCTCTGCTTTCAGGCCAAGATGGATTCCCTAGAAGAGGAGTTTGAAGCCCAATGTGCAAGGACATTTCTCAAGGGCCATGTGGTTTTGCAGACACTGCTGTCCTCAGGCCTGAACTCACCATGGAAACCCATGTCAGCAAACAGTGACCAGCAAATCCTCTTCCCTTATTCTAACTGCTGCCCCCTAGGAGACTCCAGGGGGCAGGCATTGCTTCCTCCCTAGTGTGAACTCTCTGGTATTCCATCCACCATCCTGGCAGCCCAGAGCTGCTTCTGGGTTAGGACAACAAATAGGGGGCCCTACAGTCAGAGCAGCTCTTACCCAAAGTGGTGAGCGTCAACTTCCTGTCCAGATTGCAAGTTAATGGCCTTTACAGCTGACTCGGGCTCCTATGTCGTCATTAATAAATATTAAAGCTGATAAGGACCAAGAAAGTGGGCCTGCAGCCTGAGTGTGGGAGGCCCAATGTCTTTCTGGTTGCTCTGTTGATGTTAGAATCCCACCATCACCCCTCTCGTGGGTCATAGTTGGAGAGCTCTGGCAAGGGTTAGGGCAGAGGTGGCTTTGTGAACACTGGGCCCTTTGAGCAATTAACCCCAGGCCCTAGTGGGTCATCAGTTGTAGAGAGACGGTCTCTGGCAGGATCGTTGCCCTTCACAGAGTGTCCAAAGATGCTGTCCAAGAACCAGGATGCTGCTTGGCTCTTTTCTTTCTCACGGTCGCCAGTTTCCTTTCTCAGCATCCTGAGGCTGCACCTCCAAACACTGACCTTCTTCTCCTCTGAACTGCAGCCACAGGCCCCTTGGGGCCAGGACTCATGCCCTTTTGCCTGGAGCTGGAAGGGGGGCCCTAACACTGAGGTCTTGCAGGGGCATGCTCTGCTGAGTGCCTGTGCTCCTGCCAATCCTGACGCCAGTAGACGCTGGGGAAATGGGCCAAAGAGAGGAACAAAGGCACGTGGAGGGAGTGGGTGGTGAATCCACTTCTTATACCAAACGGGGATAAGAACCCTTCTGTTGGGCTTTGTGCAGAAGATGCTGCTTCAGCAACCACTGGAATGGGGTTTAGGAGCACCAGAACGCTGCTCAGACCTTCAGCAGTGGTCACAGACACCACAGGCTTCAAATGGGGTGAATAGAGGGCAGACTCATCCTGGTGGGGTGTGTGTGTGTGTGTGTGTGTTTGTCTATCTTCCTGATTCATCTGATTCATCAATCAGCAGACCCTGGCCATCACCCATCTTTTCAGAGACAAGATGGGCACCAATTTGGGAGAACTGGCCTTTTCAAACACACAGGCAGGGTTTATGGTCAGTTCTACCTACATGTGTTATTAGACTCCCTCCAAGAGGTAACATTCAATTAAGTTCTCATGCGAGTGGTTAGGGAGTCCCCAGTAGCTCCAAAGAGGTCCTTCCCATATCCACATCTGTGAATGGCTAGATATGTAGCCACAGGCAGGACAGCTCCCAGCTGTCTCGCTCAGTGAAGACTCCAGTGTCTGTGGAATGGGGGCTCATTTTCGGTGCTACTGTCTTAACTCTGGCTCTGTCCATGCTGGACATGTCCTGCACATGTGTGTGTAGAGCTTAATGCAGGGTCCTCTTTGAACCATGCCTGGCCCTTGCAGGTAGATGTGGCAGCCACCTCTACCTCCTAATTTCGGCAGGCAGCATGGGGAAGCCCTTTCCAGGGAGTAGCTGGCAGCTCTGCAGTCTTTCCAGGCTAGTCTCCCCTGATGTCAGTGTCCCAACCCAGGTCCCCAAGGCAAGCCCTGCCCGGTCCTTCTGTCACAACCTTACTTCTCAAAGCCAGGAGCCAGGGGCCCAGCCTTCCCAAGAGAAGACAGAAATCCTGGGGAAAGCCAAAGGCAAGCTCTTTTCTGCCCCTGGGATGCCCTGTTCAAAAGCTCCCTTTGCTGGGCGGAGAATGTGAAAGCCACCCAGTCTTGGAGAACGGTTCTTGATGAGCCGTCTCAGTGCAGACTCTTCTTAGATGAACTCTGAGAAAGCCCCCATCCTCCTCTGATGTCCCCAGCCTACTCCCGACCCCCAGACCTGGCCCAACATGGAGAGAAGAAGGAGGGGAAATGGCAAGGCCAAGCGAGTGGCTAAGGGAAGCACTGGGGGTGCTGGGAGCGCACCATGCCCATAAGCCCCTTTAGCCAAAACCCCAGGATGAAGGTTGACAGCACTTTTTAGTGTTTGCTTCTCTCCCCACAGCAGCATCTATTCATCTGTCACCTCCACAGAGTCCTCGTCCTTTGTCTCCTCTGATGGATCCTCCATTGTTTCGGTGTCTGACAGCGATGTCACCTGCCGCACCATGTCTTTGTCACTGGGGATCTCTGGCTGACACGGTCTGGAGAAGGGGTTGAACCAGTTCAGGGAGAAGTCCCCACCAAAGGTCTCCTTTACTGACTGCCAGCTCCCCATGTGCTCCCTGGGCTGGTTCTTTCGTTTGAGGCGCTCGATGCCCTGCAGGGAGAAGGGGATGAAGAACATCGTCAGCGTGGTGCTGGGCTGTACAGCTCACATAGACACCCCCAGCTATAGCATAGCAGTGGCGGGGGGGGGGGCGGGGTGTCCACGGCATGGGTAAGATGGGGTCTGAGTGGGCAGTCTGTTGTGGCCCAGGTCACCCCCGGGAGGTCCCTCAGAGGACTGCTGGGGTGTGGGTGGACAGCAGCGTGGAGGAACACAGCAAGCAGGGCCCGCCTGGTGGACTGACGTGTTCTCCACCCACCACCCAGCCCTCCCCTTCTTTCCTTCCACAAGTGCAATGCCAGATGATGGGCAGGGGCTAGGCTGATGAGTGGCTGAGGCATAAGGGGGACCACACATCCTCTGAGGCCACTACAAACTGGTGATCCCCTCCTAAATATTTTTGGCCACTCCCACCAGGGTAGATAGGGGCTGCAAACACAGCAGAAGGACGATGGGGTTAAGGAAGGAGTGCAGGACACAAACAGCATGCGAGGTGAAGAAGCGGGTGCTCGTACAGCAAGTGCCAACATGCATTAGGCAGCCGGAGGGCACACAGGACCACTGTGGGGAGGTAAGGCTGGGCTCAGGCCTGCTCATGCAGCAGATCCACCCTGCAGCCTCTTCCAAGCTGTCAACTCACCTGCCTCTGGGTGTCGGCTGCAACTCAGCCACCAGGCCACAGAAAGGGTGTTGGGGTGGGGAGATGCCCAGAGGAGGTAAAGACATGGCCAGGCCAGCTCTCCAGGCCCACAACACCCTGCACAGAGGCCTTTGACCCTCCACTGGGGGCACTGCTTTCTCCATCTCTTCTGGAAGCCAAGGGAATTTGCTGTGGGTTTGCTGGGCTTGGGCACTGCTCCTTCACATGACTCAAGAAAGATCTCTGTGTATCTAGCACTTTTTCTTCCCACGCCATTTCAGAGATTTAAGATTCTTGACTTTTGAATAAATTCTAAGTTAAAAAAATTGGATCTCAAAAGTATATCCTCATAAGATACTTATCAATTACAAAGGGAAAAACAGTACCTTAATAGCAGGGAAGAAACATTGCACGTACCACCTTCACCCAATGATCAAAGTTAACATCACAATAATGAAACGTATCAACACCATATGCCTCCTGATACGGTGCAACGAGGACACATTGCTTCAGCAGTGCTCCTGCCCCAAATGCCTAACCTCAATCTAATCATGAGAAAAACATCAAAAACACAATCTGAAGGACAGCCTACAGAATACCTGCCCTACAATCTTCAAAAGGGTCAAAGATTGATGAAAAGATTTTGGAACCAGACAGACCTGGTGGTTACAAAACATTGTGAATGCATTAAATGTACACTTTAAAATGGCTAATTTTGTGTTACAGGAATTTCACCTCGATTTTTAAAAAGGGTCAAGGTCATGAAAGACAAAGGAAGACTGAGGAACTGTCACAAACTGGAGGAGACTAAGGAGACATCGCAAATGATGCAGTGTGGGATCCTGGAACAGAAAAGGGTGTTAATGGGACAACTGGAGAAATGTGAATAAGGTACATACATTAGTTAAGGGTATGGTGTTGCCAATGTCCAGGGTTTTATATTTGTATTATGGTTGTATAAAATGTTTACCTTTGGTGAGACTGACTGAAAGGTACATGGGAACTCTTTGTACTGTTTTTGTCACATTTTTGTAAGTCTGATTTCACAAAAAGTTTAAAAATAATCAATAATCTGAGACAAAGATTTATGCAATACAAACTTGAACACTGAATTATAATAATGCAAAGCTGGAAATGAGAAATGCCCAATAATGATGGTTAAGCAAATGATTCTATAACACTATGCAGCTAGAAAAGATGGTTTAATATGGTTTTACATGACATTAGAACATTTGTCTGAGTGGTTACTTTTGGGGATGGAATTCTAGAGGATTTGTATTTATTTCTGTAGACTTCTCACACAATCCAAGTTTTACCAATGAGCCAATGTTACTTTTATAATCAGAACAAAAATAGTTGTTTCAGAAAATGGATCTTGTTGACACAAGTCTAAAGGGACCTTCATGTGGGTCATGAGCATGTGATGCCATGCTGCTTCCTGACTGGCCCCTCGCCAGGCCTCCCTTCTTGGCACAGAAGCAGTGACCAGCTGAGATGGTTTGCTTTGGGCATTCTGCATTCTCTTCCTGGGTGATCATCTGCAGCCTGTTGAGAAAGAGGCTTTAACTTCATAGCACGAGAGCTGGGACATCACCATATGGCAGACCCGGCTACAGAGGAAACACCCAAAAATGACAGACTGGCTGCATCCACACTGACTTGGACTCAAAGCCATGACCATAGGTTTTTATGGCCTCCTTGTGAGGAGGTGGGTATGAGTATTGATGATTGGCAGATGGGGAAGAAACAGAAGTTCCAAGAGGCCATGACGGTGGCCAAGGCTCATCTAGCTTGTTATGTATCAGAACTGGAACCAGAACTAGTGTCTTTTTTTCTGCCCAACAGGTTTCCAGTTCTACTGCAAATCACCACTGTGCCCAGGCTGAGCTCAGTCAGAGAGAAGGGGAATGAAGCCAAGAGCCCACAGGATGATTATTTGCCATTCATGTGGCATGCTCCCAGATAGGCACTCTTGGATTATACTCAACCTCCTCACCAACCTCATAAAGTATTCCAGACAGAGCCTGGCCTGTCTACCAGAGGTCTTCAGCAGTAAAGTCGACAAACTTTCAGGGAGTGTTGACTTTTGAGTCTAGAAAGAAAATATTGCAAACAAATCCGATGTATAAAAATGGGCTGAGGGCTGCTTTTTCCTGGTAGGACTCAATTTTGAGTTTTGTGTGGATTTAAAGGGATCCTGCAGGCAAAGTTCTTAAGCTTGAGGTTTGCAGAGGAGCAGTAATAGTAGCTTCAGGCTCAAGAGAACGAACAAAAATGGTTGATGCCTGGTAAGGGGGTCATAGTCGACACCAGAAGCTCTTGCAGGGTGTGTGATGGGCCTTTTGGCCCAGGTCAGTCTGGGTGACACATGAGCTGTGATCTGTGAACAAACTCACCAACACTCCAAAATGAATGTATTAGGACTAAGGCTCCCGAGGAAGGAAGAGTCTGTGCAGAACAGACTCAGCTGAGCCCCACAGAACGAGAACAGGCTGTTCCCTGCTCCCTGTATCATCAGATGTAGAAAGCCAGAGCCTCAGGGAGCAGCCTATGCAAATGTGTCTCTTCATAGCGGGCCAGATAACACTGTCTCTCCTCATCAGAGATTTCATACCTCTATATTGTAACCCACAAGAGGAAACATTTTTCTGTTGCATTCCAGAACACATATACACACAACTCCCTAAGCTTCATAAAACAATACTTATCCTGCAATATGTAATGCATTAAACATTTTTCTTGAAAAACATGCTGGTTGCAAACCATGAATGGCTGTGACCAATGGTTTGAAAAGCACAGCTCCAACACAGCTAACATTTATAAAGCCATACCAGGGCCAGACGCTATACATTCCTATTCATCACCCTCATTTAATCCTTCCATTAACTTTGTGATTTAGATTATCATTCCCGTTTTCAGATGAAAAAACTGAGGCTTAAAGAAGTTACTGCTCAAGGTCATATTTTGGTAGTAGGTGCGGTAATAAGTAGCCAAGCAGACATTTCAACCAAAGACTGAAGCCAGGACCCAAATACTTGGTCACCAGACTATATGGCCTCAGCTGCAGAAATTCAGGGCATCCTTATGTCCGTGTTAGAGCATGTGCGGCCCCTAGAAGGCTTTTAGCGAACGTCCCTCTGCAGCGCTTGTCCTCACTCCTTGGATCAGCTTCATCGGCTCCTCCTGTGGGCCCAACAGAGCGGGATCCCTGGGGGCCACTCTGCTTTGCTACGGCAATCACACTGCTCAAGTCAGCAAGATGTTTACTTGAGGGAGAGGGTGAGAAAAAGAAGGTTCAGGTTGGGAGTACGCTGGTCAGTGGCTTGTTTCTGCTTCACTGTGAATTCTTTCTCTTCTATGAGGTGATCCTAAGCCAGATACATATTTAAAGAATACAAGAAAAAGCCACATGGGTGTTGAAACCCACACGTAGAAAGCAAAGGTCAAGACGTGTTCAGGTCATGTATCCAGGCTGCTACAATGCCCCTGGCTCTAGACTACTCACCGGCCGCCGCTCCCATCTGGAGGTCCCTTGGTTCTACTCTTTTCTCTTTCCCTTCCGGGCTGCTTCTTCACCCAAAGGGCCCTTGGTCTAGAGATGGGTTCCACTGATGAGATGCACAAGGAGTGGTGGGCAGGCTAATAATTTGGATCTGCTTCATACAGACTTTCTTTGATGTCTTGGCAGTTGTTTGTTGGGGAGGCCGCAGCTTATGAGGGAAGGCAGTCTCAGTGGCTTCTCCGCGGAGGGAACACGTGCCTGTCTCACAATCAGCACACCCCAACTGCACTATGCTGAGCCCAGCAGCACACAAGACCCATATCACCAGCAGGCATCAGGGACCACCTGAGGGGGGACTCCTGCTAGCCCCAACTGGATTCTCAAACTTGATAGTCAGAATCACCTGGAGGGCTGTTAAGACACGGGCTGCTGGGCCCCGCTCGGTTTCTGGTTCGGTAGCCTGGGGTGGGGACCGAGAATGTGCATTTCTAACAAGTTCTCAGGTGATGCTGATGTTGACGTTGCTGGTCTGGCAACCTCAAGAACACCTTTGAGGAGGATTCTAGCAAAATCTTTCTCTTTTCACATTTCTTTGATATCTAAGGGCACCTTCTAGGTGGGGCGCCTTCCCCTCTACTGGCTGGCTCACCCTTTAAGCTGATGCACTGCAAGTCTTGAAAAGAGAGAAATTTAAAACCCATTAGCCTGGCTGAGAAAGCCCATCCCAGCCCACCCGGAGAGGAGTTTCTGTGTAATGCCAACCTCACATACATGTTTAAAATGTTTGTTTTTTTTTTTTGAGACGGAGTCTCACTCTGTCGCCCAGGCTGGAGTGCAGTGGTGCGATCTTGGCTCACTGCAAGCTCCACTTCCCGGGTTCACGCCATTCTCCTGCCTCAGCCTCCCAAGTAGCTGGGACTACAGACGCCTGCCACCACGCCCAGCTAATTTTTTTATATTTTTAGTAGAGACAGGGTTTCACCGTGTTAGCCAGGATGATCTCGATCTCTTGACCTCGTGATCTGCCCGCCTCGGCCTCCCAAAGTGCTGGGATTACAGGCGTGAGGGATGTCCACAGTGAGAAGTGTCCGCGCCCGGCTTAAAATGTTTGTTAATTTACCTCACCTAAACGGTTTCTGCATTAGGGGACGGTGGATTCTAACTATTTAAGTGGCCTAGCCAGATGAGCAAAAGCTAATACTTGGGGCTTTTTCAAGAAGTACAGGGCTGGGCCCAGTGGCTCACGCCTGTAATCCCAGGACTTTGGGAGGCTAAGGCAGGAAAATTGCTGGAGGCCGGGCATTTGAGACTAGCTAGGGCAACACAGTGAGACCCTGACTCTATTAAAAAACAAAAAAATTAGCCAGGCATGGTAGTACGTGCCTGTAGCCCTGGATATTCAGGAGGCCAAGGCACAAGAATCACTTGAGCCCAGGAGTTCAAGGCTGCAGTGAGCTCTAATTGTGCCACTGCATTCCAGCCTGGGTGACAGAGCAAGACCTTGTCTCAAACAAAAAAGAGGAAGTACAGTATGAAGAAGACAAAATGGTGGGACTAAAAGGAGATTTAGCACATGCACTTCTACCCAAATGTGTTTTGTGTACATGATATTACCAAGCCCATGCAAATATGCATAGATTATAGATTTGCTTGGATCTAAGCCTTTTGCATATTCAGTCTAGTTGCTATGAACACAAACCTGACAGAGTTGACAGAAGGAAAGCAAGCTGGGGATCACAATCCAACAAGCCACATCTTTATTTTTCACTTCCACTCCCCAGAGCCCAGGCTCTGAAAGACTGTGGCTACGACTGGTTCAATTTCCCATGAGTGCACCAAACAGTACTATCAGAACTCCTGTGACCAAGCCAAAAGTTGGGGCTGACTTTGTGTAGAAAGATGTCCTCTTTCATTACATCCGGAAATACTGAGGAGAGCTCAGGGATGCTTTCCCTTCCTGTCCTGTGTGGAAGCCAGGCTGGGAACCAATCACTACCCTGCAAATGATGGCTACATTCCTCAGTCATTGTGCTCTTGGCAAAATATCAGTCTGAACAAAAATGAAATAGGAAAAATGCCAGGAACCTTGGGGTATTCCTATCTTCTGAGAGCAACTGGTTTGAGAGCTCAGAAACATTGACTCTTTCTAGCCAAGGCCTATACAAAACCAGAGGCAGAATCCTATAGGATATCTGAAGGAACCCCACTCTATTGGAAAGATAAGCATAGTATGCACAGCTTTAAAGGAGGAGTTTCTATTTTTAGGACTAAAAAAAAGTCAGTGCATCTTCAGCACTATCTACTGCATTCCTGAGAAATGCCAGGGGAAAAGAGCTAACCTGGCTCACTTTAAAAAATGCCCTGGAAGATGGAGTATTACCAATCTCTTCCCCCTAGGGGAGGGCCAGAGCTGTAGCCCTGCTCTAGTTATTTAATACAATAACACTTCTTTCATACACCTAACTGAGCTGTATGTTATGAAAAAATTTTAAAAAAGCATATGGAAAACAAATGCTATCAACTTGATCTAAAACAGCATTCTTTTCTTTTTAATCTTAGCATCTCAGCCTCGCCCGTATCGCATGAATAGCACCGTAGACACGAGGTAAAGTTAACTGACTCAGGAAAGCTCTTAGGAGAGCCCATCAGCACAAAGGAATTGATTCAGGCTGCAGAAAGCAAAGGAAAGAGGCCTGGTGGGGCAAGCTGGTTCAAGAGAGGGACCATAAATGCATTTTAAAACAAAAAAAATAAAGTATCCTCATTCAAGAGACAGAGCAATGAAACAAACACCCAACCAGAGAAAACTCAAGTAGATTGTGGATAGTCGGCCTCCCACTAAGGGTAACACCTCAAGAGAGAGCTAAATCAGAACAGGTTTTGGAAAAATTTTATTGCATTTTGTTTCCATGTGGAAGCACTGACAGAATTGAAAAGTGGCAGCATGTTCCACTTACTTTTCTGAAAAATCACATGGCTAGATTAACTTTCGCCCTACCCAGGACAGGATTGAATAAACCTTAACTCCTACCCCCACCCCAAGCAAAAGCTAAAAAAGGGGGTTTCTGGCAATTGCTTAAAAAACAAATCAATGTGTGAGAATTCCCCGATGGTCAATAATCATATTTGTTATTTTTGCACTTGGAGGGCACTCCCTACCTCCTTCACCTCTATCCACCATCACCACCTCCTTCAAACAAGACTGACACAGGAAGTGCCTCTCAAATGGAAAATCTATTCTGTCCCAGTGCCACAGGCTTAGGTGTGTCTGTGGATTCTGGCCAATGGGATGGCCATATGTCAACTTTGAAAGGGTGGGGACTGTGAGGTAACCCCAGCATCATGGTCATCTCCATGCCAGGACAACAGTCTCCCAGGTTAAAATATAGATAAGACACAGGTACGTGCACATTTATGGGGGTTAACTATCAGAAAGTGAATCCACTTTGAGGTTTATAAAATGAGAAGGGGATGATGGTGGGGCTGTATGTGTTGGGCACTGGTGCCTATTGCAGTCAGAATTC